>NC_000002.12:56857018-57160049 GCF_000001405.40 Homo sapiens | reverse complement strand
TATGTCATAGAAGTAGCTGACACAGCCTCAGTCAACCTTGGAAGGATAGGGAAGGGTTAAATGAATCTGAAATATTATCCAATATACACCTAACCTATTCTAGGTTACTTTTAAATACAGTGGTTTCTAAGACTGAGTTTATATTAAAACATATATTATGAAATTGATTCTGAAATTGAACTACTGCTGGAGCCACAATTTAAAAAAAAAAAACAAAAAAAGAGGATGAAAAGTTGGAGTTGGGAAATGATAAAAATACGTTTTAAAGAACATATTATTTACAATCTATTTTGCTTTTATTGGTTTATTTTAGTGTCACTTTCCAGCTTCTTTAACAATAAGATGAAATGATAACCCAAGGGAAAGTTTTGTTATTACATTTTAGAGGAAAATATGAGCATTGAATGTTTTAGTAGAAAAGATAAAATAAGCACTAAGTGAAACATATCTATCACCAAATTCATTAATATAAAAAATTGAAACAATTTAGATAATTTTTAAATCCTTAACTAGGAAAACGTCTCATTTGATCATTACAATTTTTATCTCCTGCATTTGAAGACTTTATGCCAGTCAACAAGTTATATAATATGTTAAACAGCAGTAACCAATGTGGTTATTTATAAATCTCTATGTGTATAAAGTTAAAATCTCTAACATTATCATGGTGTTGCCATTTAGTTAAAAAATAGCAATAGTTTAAAAATAATTGCAAAGAAGTCATGTCACTATGTTGGGAAGTTTTCAGTTTTTAAGAAGAAAACATTATCAGTCTGAAAAAGAAAAATTTCTTCTAAACCATTACAATTATGCTGATAGAAGTCAGCAACCTCATAAAACATCCATTTGGATGATTAGTATTAAGCTAATCAGTAGCAAATCTCATGGAAAAGAGCTATGTTTTGGTTAGTATGTTTGAAGGTGCTTATTACATTATTTTAAACAATTAACTAGATAAATTAAAATGGACTATGCCAGGGCAAAAGTGAGTTTGCCATCACAAATAATTACTACAATTTATTGCATATGAGATTTAAAGGGCAATCAAAGGGACAGAAAGAATTAATCCATCATCAATGAGGGAGGTAGCTATCCTTATAATTACGTATTTTAGATAGCCTATTTAAGTACCTAAGTATATAATCATTTAAAATGCCAATGTCTCAGAAATGTGTTACATACTTCTAAATGGAAACTAATGCCTATAATTGAATGTTCTCTTGACACAAGATTTAGATTATGACAATCAAACATTTTACTCCCTGTTAACTAGCCTATTAGCCTCTGTTAACTTTCCTAATTCTAATTTCCACTATCTAATAAATGTGGTGTAGAATGAGAAACAAGAAAGTCCAAGGTTCTTATAGTGTCTAAACAACTCAATACTTTCTGATGGATGATTTAAATTTCTGTTGACTTCTGCTTCTCTTAAGAGTATGGGTTTTGTATTTTTATATGGCACATAGTTTTTTTTGAAAGTTAGAAATCTGTATTGATTCTGAGGCAAATAAGTTGTTTGTTTGTTTGTTTGTTTAACTGGACATTACTTTTCTCCTGCTTTGCCTTTAGTTCAGAGCATTGAGTCAATCCAGTTTTTAATCAGCTGGGTTTGGGATTTGTGGTTGTTATAGTTACCCTCTGGTGAACCACCTGTTTCAAATTCCTTGAATGTGACCTTCCTACCTTCACCTTTAGGTCTTCCCTCCATGCTGTGCCTCAAAGCAGATCTCTCTCTATGCTCTTGCTCCTTCCCCAGCAGTATTCTGCTGTTCCTTATTATTTGATGCTTGCTAACCTGTTGGTAGTTGGAGGCTTGGGGAAGGCATTCACTGTGGTTCTGATTAAGCTTTCATTCTAGGCAAATACTGTGTTTCCCGGCTTTCAGGGTTAAAGCCTTCTAATGACCACGCTCCTCCCTCAACTGGAGGAGACTCTAATCACAGCACATTTTTGCCACTTCCTCTACGTTGGAGTGATTTTTCTGTCTCCCTCTCTCAGATACAATAAATTTTCACCATTTCTCTAAGAAAAATGCTGTATAGTGCTCTTCACCAACAGCTTAAGGCTTTTTTATTTCCTGTAGAAAAACAAACAACAACAACAACAACAAACGAGGAGTAGGGGTGTGGGGGAAGGAATTTGAAGCTTGTTTTGGATCTTTACTGCAGTTGCTGAGTCTCCTTTAACCCAGAATAGCACCACAAGGGAGACATTTTAGGATGCTCAACAATCTTTTTGGTGAGGCTATTGAGTTCTATGGAAAAAATCCTGTGAGTGAGAGAAAAGTCTTCTCTCAGACTGCACCCACCAGGAGTTCTACATTCTCTGCTATCCCATACTCAGGCTTTAGCATTCCATTAAACAATTTATCCAGACTAATCTTACCAGTGTGCAATAGCATCTTCCTCAGGTAAGCAAGTGCCTGAATCTCATTTTTCCAGAAGAAACTTGTTTTTGTTAAATTTTTAGTTATTTGGTTGACCTATAAACTCAAATCTATGGAGTGTTCAAGAAAATTATGAATGTGTAGCTAGTCTAGTTTTTCGTTGTTTTTATTTTAAGAATAGGAGTGAAATGGTTTGGACATTTGTCCCCTCCAAATCTCATGTTAAAATGTGATTCCCAGTGTTGGAGGTGGGACCTGATGGAAGGTAACTGGATCATGGAGGCAGATCCCTCAGGAATGGTTTATCACCATTACTTTGGTGATAAGTGAGTTCTCATTCAATTCGCACAGGATCTGGTTGTTTAAAGGTCTGGGACCTCTCCCCAACCTCCTTTCTCTTGCTCCCGTTCTCACCGTGTGAGGTGCCTGCTTCCTCTTTGCCTTCTCACATGGTTGAAAGCTTCCTCAGGCTGGCTTTCACCAGATGCTGGCACCATGCTTCTTGTATAACCAGCAGAACTGTGAGCCAATTAAACCTTTTTTTCTGTATAAATTAGCCAGCCTCAGATATTTCTTCACACAATGTAAAAACAGCCTAAAACAGAAAATTTGTACCCAAGAGTGGGGCATTGCTACAAAGATAACTAAATATGTAGAAGCAGATTTAGAACTCGGTAATGGACAGAGGTTGGTAGAGTTTGGATGGCTCAGAAGAAGATAGAATGATGAGAGAAAGTCTGGAACTTCACAGAGACTTGTTAAATGTTTGAGATAAAAATGCTGATAGAGATATGGGCAGCAATATCAGACTAAGGAGATCTCAGATGGAAATGAGAAACTTATCAGGAACTTGCATAAAGGTCACCCTTGTTATTCCCTAGCAAAAAACTTGGCTGCACTGCATCCATGTCCTAGGGCTTTAAGAAAGTTTGAAGTGAAGAATGATGACGTAAGGTATCTGGTGAAAGAAATTCCTGTAGCAAAGAGTTCAATAAGTGAGCATAGCTGCTTCTAATAGCCTAAGATCATATGTGGGAGCAAAGGAATGGCTTAAAGTTGAAACTCATATTTAAAAGAGAAGTGGAGTGTCAAAATTTGAAAAATTTGCAGCCTGCCCATGTGATAGAAGAGGAAAAGACACTTTCTGGAGAGAAATACAAGCAAGCTGCCCAGGCAGCCATTTGCTAGAGAGATTAGCATGACTAAAAGGGAGCCAAGTGCTACTATCTAAGACAATGGGGAAAAGGTTTCAAAGGCATTTCAGAAATCTCTCACACAGGGCATCTCATTACAGACTAGAGACCTAGGAGAAAAAAATGGTTTCTTTGACAGACCCATGGCCCGCTGCCCTGGGCAAGCCCAGGACACTGCTCCTAGAATCCTGGCTGCTCTACCTACAGCTCCAGCTTGATTGGACCCAGATACTACTTGGGTCACTGCTTTGGAGAGCATAGGCCACAATAAGCACTGGTGGCTTCCATGTGGTTTTAAGTCTGTGGGTGCATATAATGCAATAGTGAAGGAGGCTTGGCATCTTCCCTTTAGATTTTAAAGCATGTATGAGAAAGCCTGGGTGCTCAGGCAGACACCTGCTACAGGGGCAGAACCCTCACAGAAAACCTCTACTAGGGTAGTGCTGAGGGGAAATGTGGGATTGGAGCCCCCCAGACAAAGTCCACACCAGGGCACTGCCTAGTGGAGCTGTGGGAAGGAGGCCTCCATCATCCAGACCTGAAAATGATAGATCTACTGGGAGCTTTAATCCTGAGCCTGGGAAAGCCACAAGCACTCAACTCCAACCTGTGAGAGCAGCCACAGGGCCTGCACCCTGCAAAGCCACAGGGACAGAACAACCCAAGGACTTGGGAACCCACCCCTTGCTCTAGTATACCTTGGATGCAGGACATGGAGTCAAATGAGATTATTTTGGAGCTTTAAGATTTAATGACTGCTCCACTAAGTTTTAGACTTGAGTGGAGCCTGTAGACCCTTTCGTTTGGTCAATTTCTCCTATTTGGAATGGGAATATATATACAAAGCTTGTATCACCATTGTATCTTGACAGAAAATAACTTGTATTTAATCTCACGGGCTCACAGGTGGAAGGAACACATCTCCAAATGAGACTTTGGACTTGGTACTTGAGACTTGGGACTTTGGAGTTAATGCTGGAACAAATTAAGACTTTTGGGGTTATTGCAAAGGCATGATTGTATTTTGAAATGTGAGAAGGACATGAGATTTGGGGAGGCAGGGATAGAATAATATGGTTTGGATGCTTGTGCCCTCCAAATCTCATGTTAAAATGGGAGTCCCAGTTTTGGAGGTGGGGTGTGGTGGGTGATGATTGGATCATGGATGTGGGTCTCTCACGAATGGTTTAGCACCATCACCTTGGTAATAAGTGAGTTCTCTCTCAGTTCTTGTGAAACCTGGTTGCTTAAATACCTGGAACCTCTCTCCCTTCTTCTGTTGCTATTGCTCTCACCGTGTGACATGCTGGCTTCCTGATAAACTTCACCATGATTATCAGCTCCTTAAGGCCTCACCAGAAGTAGATGCCAGCACCATGCTTCCTGTACAACATGCAGAACTGTGAGCCAATTAAACCTCTTTTCTTTTAAAATGGCCAGTCTCAGATATTTCTCTCTAGCAGCGTAAGAATAGCCTAATACAGAGAGTGGTGCTTTTCTCGCTTTCTATATACTAAGCAGATGTTGGAAGTTCAAATATGATTTTAAATCTTAAAAGAAAAGGATTAGTATTAATTCAGTTACAATGAGATCCTAGAAGGACATTAACAAGTACCTTTATTATTTAATATTATCTTAGACATAAAGCAAATTATATAAAATAATAAATTTAGCACATGAATGCTGTGTTGGACATGTAATAAGTACGTATCAATATTGACACATAAATTGCCTTTGATAAGATCTTTTGCTTTAACATGTAAGAAAATTGTAAACACTTAAAGTACTTAAAGTCTACCTATGGGTCATGATCCACGAAGGCCAAGGAGTACTGTTCTGCAACTGTCAGCTTTCCGTCACATAAGACTTCCATGATGCATTACCTATATCATAGTTATGTTGAGATTAGCATCTAATTCTCTAATTAGGATAACCATGCAAACTTGACAGGTATGTTGTCATAAAACATAGCATAATATTCTCAAAACAAAAAACTGCCTGTTCTGAAGAAGAGTAAAGTAGAACTGGTTTAAAATAGTGAGTTACCTTTAGCAAATAAGAAAACTCTTCAATGAAAAAAATAACATGTTTTATACACATATTGTATATGTGTTTTGTATATTTTTTAATATAATGTACATAAAATTCATGTGGGAAAGATAATTTTTAATAAAAAGATATTTGCGTTTTAAAATCAATAGCAATGTATGAAATACACATTACATGTATACTGATGAGAGGAAGGGCATAAAAGTATATGTGTCTATCTACATGATTTCCATTTTATATTGCCTTTCTTTTAGGTCTTTCAACTTTCTTCTCCATATCTTCAAAATTTGGAGACTGAGAGTTAATAAAATAGTTTTACTTACACAACACATAATGTCCTTCTACATTCTGTTTGAAGACATCACTGACACCCCAGGACCTTCCCTTTCATTGTATGTATTTTGATAACATAAAGTACCTAATACTTGTAATCAAATCAGAATTTTCAAGGCCTATGTTCTTTCTGTTGATCTTCCTGGTATTGTAAATATATCTCAATCAGTTAAAATGAAATATAAAATGAATTAATTTTACTACAGAGTCAGTTACATACTAATACAATTTATAGCAAAAATATACTTAAATTTAGCAGATGTTGAAAAATTAACAAAGCAAATTTATTCAGTTACAAGATAAAATAAATTCAGTAGAATGCTTTTATCACATAGCAAGATCTAATTATGTTCAGAAGACACATGCTATAAATTTTTCAGCAAAATTCATAAAGCAGTCCATGCATGTAATCTCTTACAACATGCATTGTTATAAAGGAGGAGGCTAACATATGGCTCAATTCAACACATCCCTTTTCTATATGAGCAGAAGCCTACCATTGAGCACTCTGGTGGTTTCTGTACATTTAAAATTCAAGACTGTAAAACTACACTGATGTAGTACAACCTTTATGCTTGTTATTAACTCTTACAGTTGCCTAGATTTTTATTGCCTGAGGAAAAGCTGGAAATAAATAAAATGATTAGGTTGGGTACAGAAGTCAAGCCTTGGGGAACATGGGAAGAAAAAAAAAAAACTATGTGGAATTATGTGGAATTAATCATGAAGGGAGAGGAGAAGTCTGCTGTTGAATTTGATTAGTTATTTGGAAATTCCACCAAACACATGGCTCACCACCTAGTATTTATTCCAAACAAGAGAAAAGATTGAGAAGCACCACAGTTATGGAATTATGTAAGTATAACAGTGAACAATCCAACCTCATTTCTAAAGTTGTTATAATAAGTGAATAGTCTGTTGTCTATTTACCTTGTTTAAATTAAACAGAAATGTTTTGTTTTAATTTTATATTCACTGACATTTGCATGCATTTGCCATTTTTGTTGTTTAGCATTGCAGATTTCTTTCTTTTGTATTTTTATTTTTATTTTAAGTTCTGGGGTACATGTGCAAGATGTGCTAGTTTGTTACATAGGCCAAGGTGTGTCATGGTGGTTTGCTGTGCCTATCAACCCATCTCCTAGGTATTAAGCCCAGCATGCATTAACTATTTTTCCTAATGCTCTCCTTGCCTCCCCCCAACCCTACCCCAACAGGCCCCAGTAAGTGTTGTTCTCCTCTCTGTGTCCATGTGTTCTCATTGTTCAGCTCCCACTTATAAGTGAGAATGTGGTGTTTGGTTTTCTGTTCCTGCATTAGTTTGATGAAGATAATGGCTCCCAGCTTCATCCATGCCCCTGCAAAGGACATGATCTCATTCCTTTTCATGGCTGCACAGTATTCTGTGGTGTATATGTACCACATTTTCTTTATTCAGTCTATCACTGATGGGCATTTGGGTTGATTCCATGTCTTTGCTATTGTGAATAGTGTTGCAATGAACATACACGTACATGTATCTTTATAATAGAAAGATTTATATTTCTTTGGGTATATATCCAGTAATGGGATTGCTGGGTTGAATGGTATTTCTGGTTCTAAATCTTTGAGAAATTGCCACAGTGTCTTCCACAATGGTTGAACTAATTTACACTCCCACCAAAAGTGTAGAAGTGTTCTTATTTCTCCACCACTTCACCAGCATCTGTAGTTTCTTGACCTTTTAGTAATTGCTATTCTGACTGGCATGAGATGGTATCTCATTGTGGTTTTAATTTGCATTTCTCTAATGATCAGTGACGTCGAGCTTTTTTTTGTATTTTTTTTTTGGCTGCATGTATGTCTTTTATTGAGATGTTTCTGTTCATATCCTTTGCTCACTTTTTAATGGGGTTGTTTTTTCCTTGTAAATTTGCTTAAGTTCCTTGTGGATTCTGACAAAGCGTATTAGACCTTTGACAGATGAATAGATTGCAAATTATTTCACATTCTGTGGGTTGTCTGTTATGATGATAGTTTCATTTGCTGTGCTGAAGCTCTTAGTTTAATTATATACCATTTTTCAATTATTGCTTTTGTTGCAATTGCTATTGGCGATTTCATCATAAAATCTTTGCCATGCCCATGTCCTGAATGGTATTGCCTAGATTTTCTTCTAGGGCTCTTACAGTTTCGGGTTTTACACTTAAGTTTTTAATTCATCTTGAGTTGATTTTTGTATAAGGTGTAAGGATGGGGTCCAGTTTCAATTTTCTGTATATGGCTAGCCAGTTCTCCCAGCACGACTTATTAAACAGGAAGTCCTTTCCCCATTGCTTGTTTTTGTCAGGTTTGTTGAAGATCAGATGGATGTAGATGTGTGGTGTTATTTCTGAGGCCTCTGTTCTGTTTCATTGGTCTATGTGTCTGTTTTTGTACCAGTACTATGCAGTTTTGGTTACTTTAGTCTTGTAGTATAGTCTGAAGTCAGGTAGTGTGATGCCTCTGGCTTTGTTAATTTTGCTTAGTATTGTCTTTGCTATGTGAGCTCTTTTTGGTTCCATGTGAATTTTAAAATAGTTTTTCCTAATTCTGTGAAGAATGTCAATGGTAGTTTAATGGGAATAGCATTGAATCTACAAATTGTTTTGGGCAGTATGGCCATTTTTACAATATTGATTCTTCCTATCCATGAGCATGGAATGTTTTTCCATCTGCTTGTGTCATCTCTGATTTCCTTGAGCAGTGGTTAGTAGTTTCCCCTTGAAGAGGTCCTTTACTTCCCTTGTTAGCCATATTCCTAGGTAGTTTATTCTCTTAGTGGCAATTTTGAATGGGAGTGTTTTTATGGTTTGGCTCTCTGCTTGTCTGTTGTTGGTGTATAGGAACGCTTCTGATTTCTGCACATTGATTTTGTATTCTGAGACTTTGCTGAAGATGCTTATCAGTTTAAGAAGCTTCTGGACTCAGTTGATGGGTTTTTCTAGATATATGATCATGTCATTTGCAAATAAAGACAATTTGACTTTCTCTCTTCCTATTTGAGTACCCTTTATTTCTTTCTCCTGGCTAATTGCTCTGGCCAGAACTTCCAACACTATGTTGAATAAGAGTGTTAAGAGAGGACATCCTTGTCTTATGCCAGTTTTCAAGGGGAATGGTTTCAGCTTTTGCCCATTCAGTATAATATTGGCTGTGGGTTTATTATAAATGGCTTTTATTATTATGTGGTATGTTCTTTCAACACCTAGTTTATTGAGAGTTTTTAATATGAAGGGCTGTTGAATTTTATCAAAGGACTTTTCTGCGTCTATTGAGATAATCATGAGGTTTTTGTCTTTAGTTCTGTTTATGTGATTAATTACCTTTATTGATTTGTGTATTTTGAACTGGCCTTGAATTCCAGGGATGAAGCTGACTTGATCGTGGTGGATAAGCTTCTTGATGTGCTGCTGGATTCTGTTTGCCAGTATTTTACTGAGGATTTTTGAATCCATGTTCATCAGGGTATTTGATAGAAGTTTTCTTTTTTGGTGTATCTCTCCCAGGTTTTGGTATCACGATAATTCTGACCTCATACAATGAGTTAGGGAGAAGTCCCTCCTTTTCAATTGTTTGGAATGGTTTCAGAAGAAATGGTACCGGCTCCTCTTTGTATTTCTGGTAGAATTCAGCTGTAAACCCAACTGGGACTGGGTTTTTTTTTTTTCTTCTTGTTGGTAGGCTATTTATTAATTACCGCCTCAGTTTCAGAACTTGTCTGTCTACTCAAGGATTCAACTTCTTCCTGGTTCAGTCTTGGGAGGGTGTGTGTCTCCAGGAATTTATCAATTTCTTCTATGCAAATAAGTTAGAAAATCTAGAAGTGTTTATAGTATTCTCTGATGATTTTATTTCTGTGGGGTCAGTGGTGGTATCCCCCTTATTATTTCTGATTGTGTTTATTTGAATCTTTTCTTCTTTATCAGTCTCACTAGCAATCCATTTTATTATCATTATTTTTTAAATAAGCTCCTGGATTCACTGATTTTTTGAAGTTTTTTGTGTGTGTCTCTATCTACTTCAGTTTGCTCTAAGCTTGGTTATTTCTCTTTTTTTTTTTTTTTTTTTTTTTTTTTTGAGACAGAGTCCCGCTCTTTAGCCCAGGCCGGATTGCAATGGCACACAATCTCGGCTCACTGCAAGCTCCACCTCCCAGGTTCACGCCATTCTCCTGCCTCAGCCTCCCGAGTAGCTGGGGCTACAGGCGCCCACCACCGCGCCCGGCTAATTTTTTGTATTTTTAGTAGAGACGGGGTTTCACCGTGTTAGCCAAGATGGTCTCGATCTCCTGACCTTGTGATCCGCCCGCCTCGGCCCCAAAGTGCTGGGATTACAGGCGTGAGCCACCGCGCCCAGCCAAAGCTTGGTTATTTCTTGTCTTCTGCTAGCTCTGGGGTTTTTTTGCCCTTGGTTCTCTAGTTGTTTTAGTTGTGATGTTACAGTGTCAATTTGAGATTTTTCTAGTTTTTTGATGTGGGCATTTAGTGCTATAAATTTTCCTCTTAACACTGCTTTAGCTGTATCCCAGAAATTCTGGTATGTTGTCTCTTTGTTCTCATTGGTTTCAAAGAACTTCCTGATTTCTGCCTTAAATTCATTATTTAGCCAGGAGTCATTAAGAAGCAGGTTGTTCAGTTTCCATATAGTTGTGTTGTTTTGAGTGGGTTTCCTATTCTTCAGTTCTAATTTGATTGTGCTGTGGTCTGAGAAACTATTATGATTTCAGTTCTCTGTATTTGCTGAGGAGTGTTTTACTTCCAGTTATGTGATCAATTTTAGAGTAAGTGCCATGTGGCATAGAAAAAATCATACATTCCATTGTTCTGAGGTGGAGAGTTCTGTAGATACCTATAAGGTCCACTCGGTCTAGAGCTGAGTTCAAGTCCTGAATGTCTGTTAATTTTCTGTCTCAATGATCTGTCTAATACTGACAGTGAGGTATTAAATCTCCCACTATTATTGTGTGTGTTGGGGGGGTCTAAGTATCTTAGTAGGTCTTTAAGAACTTGTTTTATGAATGTGGGTGCTCCTGTATTGGGTGCATATATATTCAGGATAGTTAGCTATTCTTGTTAAATTGAACCCTTTGACATTACATAATGCCCTTCTTTATCTTTTTTTGATGTTTGTTGGCTTAAAGTCTATTTTCTGAGAAACTAGGATTGTAACCTCTGCTTTTTTGTGTTTTCCATTTGCTTGGTAAATTTTCCTCCATCCCTTTATTTTAAGTCTATGTGCATCTTTGCACATGAGATTTGTCTCTTGAATACAGCACACCAATAGGTCTTATGTTTTTATCCAGCTTGCCATTCTGTGTCTTTTAACTGGGGCATTTAGTCCATTTACATTTAAGGTTAATATTGTTGTGCGAATTTGATCCTGTCATCATGATGCTGGCTGGTTAATTTTGCAAACTTATTAATGTAGTTGCTTCATAGTGTCATTGGTCTGTGTACTTCAATGTGTTTTTGTAGTGGCTGGTAATGGATTTTCCTATCCATGTTTAGTGCTTTCTTTAGGAGCTCTTGCAGGGTAGGCCTGGTAGTGACAAAATCACTCAGCATTTCTTTGTCTGAAAAATATTTTATTTCTCCTTCTATTATAAAGCTTAGTTTGGCAGGATATAAAATTCTGTGTTAGAATTTATTTTCTTTAAAAATGTTGACTATTGGTCCCCAATCTCTTCTGTCTTGGAGGGTTTCCACTGAGAGGTCTGCTGTTAGTCTGATGGACTTTCCTATGTAGGTGACCTGGCCTTTCTCTCTGGATGCCCTTAACAGTTTTTCCTTTATGTCAACCTTGGAGAATCTGACAATTATGTGTCTTAGGGTAGATCTTTTCATGGAGTATCTTATTGGAGTTCTCTAGATTTCCTGAATTTGAATATTGGCCTGTCTTGCTAGGTTGGGAAAATTCTCCTGAGTGATATCCTGAAGTGTGTTTTCGAACTTGGTTCAATTCTCCCCATCTTTTTCAGGTACTCCAATTAGTTGTAGGTTTGATGTTTTTACATAGTCCCATAGTTCTTTGAGGTTTGTTCACTCCTTTTTATTCTTTTCTCCCTAATCTTGTCTGCCTACCTTATTTCAGCCAGCTATTCTTCAAGCTCTGATATTCTCTCTTCTGCTTGATTGATTTGACTATTGATACTTGTGTTAACATCTTGAAGTTCTCGTGCTGTGATTTTCAGTTCCATCAGGTCATTTTTGTTCCTCTCTAAACTGGTTATTCTAGTTAACAGCTCCTGTAATCTTTTATCATGGTTTTTAGCTTCTTCGCATTGAGTTAGAACATAATCCTTTAGCTCAGAGAAATTCATTATTACCCACTTTCTGAAGCCTACTTCTGTCAGTTCATCCATCTCAGCTTCAGCCTGATTCTGTGCCCTTGCTGGAGAAGTGTTGCAATCATTTGGAGAAGAGACATTTTGGCTTTTGCAATTTTCCGTGTCTTTGCTCATCTTCGTGGATTTATCTACCTTGGATCTTCGAGGCTGATGACCTTTCAGTGGGGTTTTTGTGGGGTCTTTGTTGTTGTTGTTATTTTCTGTTTGTTTGTTTGTTTGTTTTTGTTCTAACAGGCTGCTGCAGTTTGCTGGGGGCACTTCAGACCCTGTTTGCCTGGGAATCACCAGTGGAGGCTGCAGAACAGCAAAGATTGCTGCCTGCTCCTCCCTTCAGAAGCTTCATCCCAGAGGGGCACTGACCTGGTGCCAGCTGGAACTGTCCTATATGAGGTGTCTGGTGACCCCTGTTGGGAGGTCTCACCCAGTCAAGTCAGGAGGCATGGGATCCAAGACCTGCTTAAGGAGGCAGTCTGACTTTCCCTCAGTGGAGCTAGTGCACTGTGCTGGGGGAATTCCCCTCATCTGGATCAGCCAGTCTCTTCAGAGCCAGTAGACAGGAAAGATTAAGTCTGCTGAACTTGAGAACGCAATGCACCCTCCCCTGCAGTGCTCTGTCCCAGGGAGATGAGATTTCTGTCTGTAAGCCCCTGACTAGAGCTGCTGGAATTCCTGCAGGGATGGCCTGCCCAGTGAGGAAGGATGGCTCTGGGTCCAACCTAAAAAGGCAGCCTGCCACAGCCTCTTTGCTGCACTGTGGGAGAATTCCACCCACTGCAAACCTCTCAGTCTCCTTTGCACTGTCAGGGGAAAACCACCAACTACAGCTGCAGTAATGGCAGTCGCACCTCCCCTGGAAACTCAGTCCTCCCATGCAGACTCCAGACTGCTGTGCTGGTAGTAGGGGTCTTAAGCCAGTGGGTCTTAGCTTTCAGGGCTCCATGGGAGTGGGACCAACTGATCAAGACTGCTTGGCTCCCTGGCTTTAGCCTTTCCACTCCTGTGAGGTTCTCCTGCCTCACTGGAGTTCCAGGTACCACTGGAGTATGTATAAACTCCTGCAGCTCAGTGCCAGCCTGAACAGCCACTGGCGGGAGTGGCTGTCGTTGGTTAGTTGGTTATCCCAGTTTTGTGCTTGAGACCCAGGGCCCTAGTGGTATAGACTCACAATGCAATCTCCTGATCCGCAGATTGCACAAATCCATGGGAGAAGCGCGGTATCTCTGGCAGGTAGCACAGACCCTCACTGTTTCCCTTGGCTGGGGGAGGGAGGTCCCCCCACCTCATGCAGCTCCTGGGTAAAGTGACACCCCACCCTGCTTCTGCTCACCCTCCATGGGTCACGCCACCTGCCTAATCAGTCCCAATGAGATGAACTTGGTACCTTAGTTGGAGATACAGAAATCACCCACCTTCTGTGTTCATCTCGCTGGGAGCTGCAGATGGGAGCTGTTTCTATTTGTCTGTCTTGGCCCCTTTCTCGCATTGCAGATTTCTTTAAGCTCTCCCTGTCCCCCACCTCCATCCATGAACACAAACGAACCACCACTCAAGGTTCTGAGCAATTCACCTCTTCCCTTAAGTCATCTTGGCCATTTCAGCTAGAAATGTTCTCTTTCAAACATACTTTCATTTTTCTAGAGGCCATCCATGTGCCATGAAATTAGTGGACTAATATGCCTAAAACCAAACTTCACTGTGCAACCCTAATATTGACTATCTCTAAGGGATTGTATGGCTGTAGTGGAAGTTGTGGTGAAGTTTTGCTGAGGACACTGACATCAGGTGGGCCAATCTCAGTCCCCAGTGGTAGCAGGAATGCTAGTGTGTATGTCCTTGGGCCCCAGAGTAGCAGGCTCTGGCACTTGGTACAGGTGACTTGTTCAGGTGCTATCAGTGACAGTGGTGGTCCATGCAGGTGGGCAGGTCTTCGGGGCCCTGGGCAGAGGACATGGCATCTGTGATAGCAGCAGCTGTGGCAGGACGATCCTTTGACTCCCAAGTGATCTGCACTGGTGTTGGCAATGGCTGCAACTGCTGTGTGGGTAAGTCCCCAGGCCTGCTGGTGGCATGTGCAGTTTAGTGCTAACGCTGGTGTAGTGGCAGGAAGAGTGGACTTGTTTTCAGGCCCCCAGGAGGAGTGCTCAGTGGCCAATGGTGGTGGATGGAATGGAGTGATTCCCAAGCCTTCAAATGACATTCTTGAATGCTGGAAATTCAAGCCAGGAAGGGAGGAGTAGGTCTCAGGTGCCCCAGCGGTGCATGTGGGTGCTGGCTGTGGTAAACAGGGTGGGGTGATCTCCAGGTACCAGTGAAGTCTCATGTGGGGAAGACATCAGTGGTGAGGAGGGGTTGCTGCCCTTATGGCATATGTGAGGGCACTGTGTCCCTGCTGCCAGGGAGAGGAGGGTTGTTTAATGGCAGCACTTGTAGCCAGGTGGCTGAGGAGTGTGTCTTTTGGCCCCAGGTGACAGCTGCAGGCATGGTAGCTTATTCTCAAGGTACATATAAATGCATATTGACCTCGATGAGGGTGACGGGGGTGCTGCCAGTGACTTGTGCTTAGGCTTCCAGAGGCAGCAGCCAGCAATGGCAGTGGCTGGGGACAGCGGATTTCAGTGGGGCTCCAGGGATGTGAAAATGTATGTTATTAGGCCCCAGGGTGGGATGCAATCTGGTGGTGTCTTGGCTCCCAAAATGGTGCTGTGCCACAGCTGCTTAGGTTTTGGCAGTGTATGGGCCTCACCATGAGCTCTCTCTGGAGTAATGCCTTTCTGTAGTCTCTAGGTAGCTTTCTATGTTGGTTTCAGGACCTGCGACTGTCAAGGGGCTCTCCTGTGGCTAGAATCACAGGAGTCTACTTGGGGATGTGGACTGCTGGGGATGTCTGAGTTGCTCTTCCCCCACATTGCAGACCCTACCCAGTGCTCCTGGCCAAGCCTGGCCTACCTGACTTTTCTCTCTTTCCTTGCTTCCTGTTACTTCTCTGTTGAATTCTGGTGTTCTTTCTTAGGCACTATATTTCAAGTGTGATCATCTCCCTATTTTGGTTCTTTGTGAACAAGGCAAATGCTAGATACCTCTAGTCAGCTACCTTGAAGTCCCTCACTTATTGGAATTTCAGAATGACTGAAGGAACTTTTTAAATTTTGGCTTAATAGATTCTGAGGTAGAGCTGTTTCCTTAGATAATCCATGATATAAAAATATTTAATATTTTCTTTCAGGGGTCATTATATTTCCCAGGTAAGCATAAGGGGATCAGGACTGCTTGCCAATAATCTATGAGATGATAAGAGACAAAAGGGAGTTTGGAATCTCAGTACAGTTTGGAATTAGTCAGCACCTCTGTTTTCAGGATAATATCCTTCTTAATTTGTCTAGTATATCCAGATGAGAGTCTTTCAATTTTAACCTGTCCAGTATTAAATCTTCAGTCTTCTATGAGTATGGAGAAGAAGAGTGCTGCTCCAACTGCACTAAGTAAGGTGGAGAGGTCTTGTAGTCTATCCTGTACTCTGACCATTTATTAAAATGGCTGAGTGTCTTCATTTACACTTACAGATTTAATGGCGGCATGAGTTCATGGTCCTTTTGTGAGTACTGAAGCAAAACTCAAGTTAGTTCTTGGCTTTCCCCATGGGAGCTTAGGATTTGTCTTCCATGGATTCAATGAGTAAGTAAGTTACCACTCTTCCATATGTTCTCTACCCTCTAAAATGTTGCTTACTCCTCTTTTATTCTTTTTGTATTTGTGGATTTGTCTTTTCAAAAACCCCTTTACTATTATTTCCCATGTTTGGGTGGGTGACAAACTTAATACAGATGGTCCATAACTTATGTTGGTTTAACTTCGATTTTTTTACTTTAAACTGGTACAAAAGTGATAGACATTCAGTAGAAACTATGCCTCAGTATAGTATTCAATAAATTAGATAGGATTTTTGACACTTTATTATAATATAAGATAGGCTAGATGTGTTAGATGATTGAGCCCAACTGCAGGCTCTCTAACTGCTCTGAGCATGTTTAAGGTAGGCTAGGCTAAACTACAACTTTCAGCAGGTTAGTTGTATTGGATGCATTTTTGACTTACAATATTTTCAACTAACAATGGGTTTATTGGGACCAGGACCCCATCATAAGTCAAGGGGCATCTGTTTGTATATTTAATCAAAAATCTTTTTGCCTGTTAATGTTTAAAGATGAAAAATATGTTTATTAGCAGCATTAGACAATTTGACAGTATTACATATACAGTATTATATATATACACACATGTTTATAACTTGTTATCTATATTTTTAAAGATAGAGATATAAATGTAAATAATTGGGGTTAAATTCTTAAACTTTTACAAATAAGTGTCATGAAAAAGATTTTGAACACTACTGGCCCACAAAATGAGGAGAACATTCTTAAGTTTGTCATAAATACTCCAGCAAGCTGTCCTGGACACATTTTTAGGACTCCTCTTAAGCAGCTCCCCATGCTCTTCTGTCTCTATGCCTCATCAAAAAGCTACTAGATATTCCCTGAATACGCCAAGTGAGGAGTGGATGGTAAACAATTTCCTCTCCTTTGTTTTCTCTACAGAACCCACACAGCGCTTCTTCTAGATTATTTAAGATAATTTCTAAATCACCCTTATATTCTTGAGATGCCAACTCTGATTCATCTGCTAAATATTTATTGACCCTCTGTCTTTTATACATATTAATACAATGTGAAATGCAATAATGCACAGTGTCAGACTGGATAATTGCGGTAACAACTGCATGTTAGTCCAATCATATAATTTTATGTTAACTTGAGGTTATGCTCCCTTTGTGTGTGTAATTAAATTGTTATGACTGGCTCAATTTTCAGAATTAGTGTTTCAGAATTAGAGAAGTGTAGGAGCTGAAGAAATCCTGAGAAATGACACCTAAAACAAACAGCTAATTCTTTGGTAAGCAAACAAGGTTACTGACTAACTTCCATGTTAAAGAAACACTTTATTTTCTCCCCATTTCTGTTATTTCCCAGGAGGGATTGCCCCTTAACACATTCATGGCCTTCCTGAACTTTTCCTCAGTCTGTCTCTAAGGGGATGCAGTGATTGACCTGATAGCTGCATTAGAGAAGAACAGCTCTAAAAATATATCAAAATCCACCTAATTTCTCCTGGAGGAGGCACAAGTTGAGTTATGCCTGCAGAGGTGGCTCTTCATGGGGTGGCTGCCCACATTTAGTTCCCAATTCCATGCCCTTTGGTTAACATGCCCTATCTCAGGCTCTACCCAAAAGAAAAATGATGTTTTGGTCTGTAATTGGGATTACTCTTTGTTTTATTATTTTTATTTTTGCTTATGCAGCTTATTGAAAAATCAATGATTTCAACCTTTCCAATCAATTTGTTTCAGATTTCCATTTAGAGATCATGAAAATAATAAAATAATGTTTCCAAAATATTCTTCTGCTTTCAATTTGAAGTTCAAGAAGCATAAAATTTAATAAAATTATTTTAACACTTTTTTATTCAAAACATTTTAGTCTAAATTTCTGGAATTTGGCCAAAAGATGTATGCATTTTTTAAATGGTATCTTCTGTTATTCTTTTCTTCTTCCTGATCATTTTTATAAGTGTTGCTTAAATATTTCTAACTTAAAATGTCATCTACTGTACAGATTCTGGGTATCCATACCAATTTTTAGAATCAGAATTTCTGGCAGACAGACCTTAGAATTACTATATTAATACATATGCCAAGCGATTCTTACCTTTTAACTACTATGGACAACCCTGATCTACACAATTGTCTTGCTACTGATGGTAGAGTAGACATAAGGCTGGCAAAAGTCAACAGTTATTGAAATATAGATTTAACATACTGGAACAACAAACAGGTAGATTAGTAATGTAAGATTCATGGATCTTTCCAGCATTGCCCGACCAGAAATAAGCTGGATGTGGTGGCGCACATCTGTAGTTTCAGCTACTTGAAAGGCTGGAGGATTTGTTGAGCCCAGGAGTTTGAGAACAGCCTGAGCAAGAGTCAGACCATGTCTCTAAAATAAATTAATTAACTCAATTAAATAATCACTGTGCTGCAGCTTGAAAAAATTCAGGCAGGAAAACAGATGAATTACTGTAGAAGTTTATGTCAATCAATAAATTGTACTACCCTGTATTCCCAGAGTTTGACTTTTTCTGGCATCTCATCATGGGAGTTTATAGATAGCTGACTTCTCTGTTTCTGCTAACCACAGTCAACTGCCATGGAAACATACTTTCAGTATCTAAAAACAGAGCATGGTGATTTAAACTAAACTAATCACAGAATGAGTTTATATGCATGTTTTCCATACACAATAACAGAAAAGAATAGAAAGTCCCACTCAAAAATATATATGAATTTCTCTTCAAGCTTTCAAGATTTCTGAAGTAAAATAAAATATGCCTAACATTTTCAAAACTATTATAGCATTTATGAAACACACATACATACACACACTTCAGACAGTCCATGAAATAAGCCCTATTTAATTTTAAATAGAGTTCTCAACAGTTAAAATAAACCAAATAACTATTTTTCTGGCTAAACTGCAAGGTACTTTAAAAGCCATATATCTAGAATACTAGCAAATTGGAAGTAACAATTTTATTGTAACTTAATCATAGAAAAATCATTTTTTCTGTATTCTATTTCTTCAAAGCAGGTGACTATGTCCAGTCCACACTCAAAAGGAGGTGATTGTAGAATCATGTAAATAATAGGAGACAGGGATAATTGAAACTGCCTATCACTTACCCAGCATCTATTCACTTATAACCGTAGGGATTTCTTGACTTGTCATATATATCATTATGTAACCAAACCCAGGTTTGGCAGCTCACTGCTCAAAAGCCAGACTTGAGACACAAGGGTTGGTAGGGAGGAAAACGGGTATATTTGGAGAATCAGCAAACCAAGAAGATAGTGGACTAGATAGTGGACTATTGTCCTAGAATATCACCTTAAGTCAGTACAAAATTTAGACCCTTTTTATGTTAAGGCCAGGGAAGAGAAAGAGATTGAGATCAAGAGGTAACTAACAACCACAGACATCTGGGCACCAGCGAGTGTCCAAGAAGGTTGGAAACTTCCTTCCTTGTCCTTTGTCAGGTCACAGTGCTCCTCTAAGTCTTTAACAAAACATACTTGTTTACATACTTTTCCTTTAATTTCAGAATTAGTTTTTTAAACTACATGACTGCTGCTTTTATATATTATTTTAGTGTTCTAAAATTATCCTGGCCTATGTGTAAGAATGGGAAAAGGTTATTTAAACAAAAATGGAGTTAGTTATGTTAGTTCTATTGCTGTTTTATTGTTATAATCAAAAAGCCCTCATTCTGACTTTTTTTCTTACTTTTATTCTCATTTTCCTAGCTGACTTGTTTATAATATATTGCGACTGCTATATTTTATTTTATTCAAGCCATTTAATTAAATTTTCTGTCTCCCTGGGTACAGAGGAGGGACTTAGATAAGACTCTTATTTGCATTGCTCGCTCATTTTGTGCTGTGTTCCACAGACCATAAAACCAATTTATCCATCATGTTTAGAAAATGTGTACACAAGTTGATTGGAATGCCCTCTTATATATTTAAAACATATTTATTATTTTTTATGAATTACTGATTTTTAAGAAGTTTTAGTCTTATAGTGAGTCCAAATCCTCCAATCCAATGTTAAAACTTTCTCAGTGTTGACAGAAAAAGTGTCTAATTTTTAAGCCAACGCCTTTTCCTATGCCATGTACTTGACATGTTACTTAATAATATTCATCATTGTGTAGTTTTTTTACTCCTTATGCAAACAACATAGTGAAGTTTCCCTTTAATAATAATGCAAACCAACATAATACACCTTCAATAAAATATCCGGAAGTATTTGGCAACAATACACCAAAAAAGTGCCACTTAAAATTCTTATATTTGTGGTGAGCATTTTACAATAGAAATATCAGTTTTGAAACATGTTCCATTCAATATTGTTTTCATAAATATCCTATTGTATTACATTTATAAACTATATAAAGACCATACCAATTTTTTTTTTGGTCTTAGAATAGTATATGCTACAATTCAATACTTTTTTGATATTCCATTTTAATATAAGGCCCAGAATAACAATTCACTACAATTTCTTATTGCTACAACCAATTAACAAAATGTTTTCTTGATGAACTTAAAGTGAATATACTTGAATACATAAACTTGAATACATAAATATGAAGAACTACCTGTTTTAGCCATATGTTGTTTGCCAGAGTGACTATATTTACTTATTAGCTAAGAGATTTGAGTCAGTTGCAGCTTTGGAATTTAGAATGTCAACAAATAGAGGGTCATTGCTGATGAGAAGAGAATACAAAATGTGAGCATGAGAGAGGAGAAAAAGAATATTCAGAGAGGAACTGAGATTCAATTGTACAGAACGTTTAATTATAACACAGCATATGTGCTCCTAAATATCACTGCATTATGCAAATATGTGCAATAAAAAGTATGGAACTCATGAATAAAATAGATTAGGAACAAAACACTCAAAATGTCATCAATGACATATTAAATAATATTGATAGGAACTACATTCAAAGGAGTAACATAGTTTTACATGTGCTAAATGGTTAAGAAACACATCAACAGTTCAAAAATATGGCACTTGATCTTGAAAAGACCTGATACTTGCTTGTGGAAGTAGTTCTCAGAATGGTAGTGAATTATTGTGAGGCAATGGAAGAAGGGCTATCCAAAATATGATGGAAAGTTTTAACACCAGATGTGGATGGGTAAACTCATGGTCCTCTGGTCAAATATGACAGTTAAGCAATCTTTCAAAGCCTTAAATCCTAGGATATATTTTTCTGCTTTTGAGATATAGTTTTGGAGGTATATGCTTATATATGATACTTGTCCATTGAAACTGAAAAACAAAAATTCCAATATATAGTCTTCCTGTAATCAATTTCTGCATCATCACTGGTAATTCTTGTGCAACTTTCTCATCTGTTCTCACAGTTTTGCTCAGTAGCTGAAGGGTTTGGAAATTGAACTCGTATTTGAAACTACTACTCTTAGACCCTAATAGCACTAAAAAGAGGCATTCTAGGAGAATTTGGTGCTTACCATTTAAAATCCTCATATATAATTAGTGCTTTCTCTTTGGTTGTAAAGAGCTTGTTTCTGATTCTTTGGTTGTTTGAGTTTCAAGCCATATGGTTGATAATCTTTCCATTTCTTTAGGCTTTCTTCTTATTGACTTTGCAGCACTTGGTATTGTTATAGCTATTGACGTTTCTTTGCTTTTCATTGTTTTGTCTTTCATAGTCTGCCATATGTGTTACTTTATGTCCACTGCTTGGAGACATCACATGTTCTCTCAGGTTTTGGTTTTTCTATCTTTTTTAAAAAATTTTATTATTTCAAGCTTCACTTCAACACTTTAAACTTCTCTTTGCACCAACTTCATGGTATTTTTGAACCAGGACTCTTGCACATGTTTTGAATAATAAATGAGTGCTTTTACTTTTGTTTCTGTTTTTTGGCTTTTTTTGAGACAGAGTCTCACTCTGTCGCCCAGGCTAGAGTGCAGTGGTGCAATCTTGGCTCACTGCAACCTCCGCCTCATGGGTTCAAACAATTCTCCTGCCTCAGCCTCCCAAGTAGCTGTGATTATAGGTGCGCACCACCACGCCTGGCTAATTTTTGTATTTTTGTAGACATGGTGTTTCACCATGGTGGCCAGGCTGCTCTCGAACTCCTGACCTCAGGTGATCCACCCGCCTCGGCCTCCCAAAGTGCTGGGATTACAGGCATGAACCACTGTGCCTGGCAGTATTTTTGTGTTAATATAAAAAAAGAAAACTTCACAAATGTGAAGAATAGCAGAACATATTTTTAGGATTGTGAATGCATTGGATTAAGAGAACTGGTATATGTTTGAAGTGTGTGCTACTGTGTATTTTGTTGATTGTTATACAGGCTGATTTAGCTGAGTGCAATATTCTGCTTTCTCCTAATTTTACTTCAAGAAATGAATCATGCTTAAACAAATGTGAAATATTTATTATGCTCGAATTGATCCCTAATGCATCAATACATTGGAGCAAATTTACCTTTCCAAAACAAGCATAATAAAGTGTAAGTACAAATATATTTCAGTAAACAAATAAATAACTTTAAAATATACCAGAATTTAGGAGAGTTTTGATACTCTTCTTATTTGAGGAAGCCTGCAATTTATTTTTTTTATATTACTTCCTGGTATAGTACTTTGTCTAACATATGTTTGGCATAAATTCTGAAATCTTTTTATTTCTACCCTTTCCTTCTTTAAGACAAGGTATATAAGCAGCAAAATGGTAGTGTTTGTTACTGTTTTTTGATGGTTTATACTAAGAAAGGGGCTTTGCAGCACTGCTAGAGCTAAATCTGTCACCCTTTCAAACGTTACCATTATAACTGAGAACAATTTCCAAACATGCAATTCCGGATTAAACAAACAACATTGTTATTCCTCAACAGACAGAGTATTATATAATGAATTCTCAGTATGTAATGATGCAAACATTCAAGACCCATATGGTATATTATATTTTGTAGAAATGGTTTTCCATATTTTTACTCTTATTGACTGTAATTTAAGATTCTTCAAATGGAGACTCTTATTTTAACCATCTTTCCACTAAAGATTATAGAATTAGGTGGTGAAACCCCGTCTCTACTAAAAATACAAAAATTAGCCAGGCACCAAGACAGGTGACTGTAATCCCAGCTACTCAGGAGGCTGAGGCTGAGGCTGAGGCAGAGGTTGCAGTCAGCCGAGATCATGCCATTGCACTCCAGCCTGGGCAACAGAGTGAGACTCTGTCTCAAAAACAAACAAACAAACAAACAAACAAAAATTGTAGATTAGGGATATCCTAGTCTGATAGAGGCCAAGAAAATCAAAGAGATGACAGGGTAAGATGCCCTGGTCTGAGACCAAGAAAATCAAATAGGTGCCTGGTCTGAGACCAAGAAAATCAAATAGGTGACAAGATAAACTGATTCAGAAATTAGCAGTTTAGAAATTAGCACTGTTTTTTCTTCTGTTGTGTCATCATCAAAATTATAAAAGTATTTTTTTCTTCAGCACTTTCCAGGAAATATCAATATTTCTTCCTAACAGAAATTCATACAATGTATTATTTCATATCCTGCTAAGACTCAGCAGTGATGCAACTGACAATCCAATGGCTTTACAAATAATTAAATTACAGATTTAACTGGCATTTCCCTAACTAAAATATAAATTGAAGATCTTCTCATTTATATATCTTTTTTCCCCATGTCTTTTTATATAATTTGCCCATTTTATTGTGATACATTGTTACCAAATCAGTAAATTTTTATTGATGTATAAGGTTTCACATAAGTTGTAAATATTTCATCTGTCTCTCAATTTTCTGTTTATTTTTTGCAGCATCTGTCATACACACTTTGCAGTTTGATAATACAATATGTCTGTCTATCATTTACTTCATAGACTTTGGGTTTTCCAGTTTACTAAAGAAGTTATATTCTAATTTTTTATTATTAATTTTAGGGTTCCAACTTTCTATTCTATGAGATAAGCAGCCAACCAATGGTTCCAAAATCTCTAAATAAAACAGTATTTTACAAGTTGAAATGCCATACGAGTTCTCATAGAAAAATTGTGGATTGTCTATTTTGTTCTCCTGGCATTTGCTAGTTTCTGAGCCAAGCTTTTGATTATATCAGTCCTATTTTAAGTTTTTAATATCTTCCAAGACCAGGTGTCCATTAT
This sequence comes from Homo sapiens, assembly GCF_000001405.40. Taxonomy (NCBI): domain Eukaryota; kingdom Metazoa; phylum Chordata; class Mammalia; order Primates; family Hominidae; genus Homo; species Homo sapiens. The sequence continues at coordinate 57,135,884 of NC_000002.12, read as the reverse complement.
TCTTAAATTTTATCTTTTTTAATTTACATTCTTTTCACATACACATTTTCAAATTATATTACATTGTTAAACATATATATTTGGATTTTAACTGGAAATGCATTAATTTATGTATTAATTTAGAGATTAATAATATTATGATGACTTTTGAACCTACCTTTGTAGGAATATATTATATTACTCTAAGTTATTATTTACTGTAATAAGGTTGTATATATTTTAACATTTATGTCTTTTGGATTTTCTTGTTTATCTTTTATACTTAGTGCTTTTATTGTTATTGTAACCAAAAAAAAAAGCTTTCCATCTTTATGACTAACTGGTTTTTTTAGTAGAGGTAGAAAGAGAGAGAAAGAAAGACATAGAGACAGAGAAGGAAACCATGTTTCTAGTTTTTGAATATCTTGTTTCTACCAGACATTAATTTTTCTATCGTCTGCTAACTTTTATAGAATTGCATAATTATATAATAACAATTTCTGTTGAGAGGTAACTGTTTACTTTTATTTTTATAATGTAGCAATTTAATGCTTTTATAATAATTTTATTATATTTACATATTATGTTAGAACCTCAAAATATTAGTTAATTATGCTAGTAAGTATTCTTGTCATGTTTCTAATTTAATTGGTTTGACAGTTTGTTTATGATGCTATTTGTTGTTGGTTTGGGTTGTATATAATACTTTCGTATGGGAAGAGAAATGAATGAGGAAATCTTTCCTTTATGTTAGCAGAAAGTTCAGGAATGGTTAGAACAAATACACTTGTAAATTTCTATTGCTCACTTTGAATTTGTAAAGTTGAATAACCTGAAGAGTTTGATGTAAATGAATGAATATATACAGAGTTACAAATATAGTTGGAAATGCAGGAAACAGGAGGAAAAACAAGATTAATGAATATGTAAAGTAGGTGTTTCCACTAATATTGAATGTTGTATGAGGAAGATGATAGTTTTATTTTGTTAAAATAATGAGTACTCAAACAGAAGGAGTGAAGTAATAAACTTTTAGAAACAACAACAGAGACTCCCAGTTGCAACTCCAGTATGTGAAGAGCTTGGAAGTTATTGCTTTCATCCTTAAAACAAGAAAAAAGTAACTTACAAAAGTGAGAATCCACGACCTTTCTGAAACCCATCAAAGAAATAAGGTTTTAGAACAAATTGACCACCATGATATCTGACAAGAGAGGTTAATTGAAAGAATCAGAGCCGAGATTTTCTTGCCTAGAGCAGAAATCACTTTAATCATAAAGCGGTATAAATATTTAAGTGGTAGTTTAATTGAATTTCTGGGGACTGAGAGTGGACTAGGCCAATAAAACTTTCCAAATTCAAGTGAAAAGAGAAAAACAGAGAGAGACTAGAACATCAAATAATTTGGGGAAAATTTCAAAGTGCATAACATACACATGATTAAAATACTAGGGAAAGAGATAACAAAGCACAAGAAATATTTGAAGTAATAATGGCCAAGGGCTTTCCAAAATCAATCATATACAAAAAAAGATGTAAGAAGTTCAGAAAACACCAAGCAAGTGTTTTTTAAAAAAAAATAACTAGCCATATCATATGTATCATATTATTTAAACAGCCAAAACCAAAAACAATGAGAACATCTCATATAATGCCAGAGAAGAAAAAAAAAAAAAAATCTTTCTTACCTACTGTTGTGAGTTAGTTAAATGTGTCTCCAACGAAAAAGTATATTCAAGCCTTAACTCCTGGTACCCATTAATGTGACCTTATTTGGAACTAGGATCTTTGCAGAGATAATCAATCAGGTTAAGATGAGGTCATAATGGATTAGGGTGAGACCTAGTCAAATGACTGATGTCCTTGTAAAGAGGGAAATTTGGGCATAGGCACAAAGAGGAAAGTACATCATATGAAGTCACTCAGATTATAGTAATTTGCTATGGCAGTCCTAGGAAACTAATACACATCTAAGAATAAGGATAGAAGTTACAGTAGGCTTCTTGTCACAAATCATGCAAGCAAGAAGAGAGTGAAATAAAATACTTAAAGTGTTGAAAAAAGAAATCCACCAACCTAGAATATATGTCTAGTTAAATTAATTATGACTCAAAAGTGATGGAGAAATAAAGACTTAACTCAGACAAACAAAAACTAGGGGGAATTTATCATTGAAGTCTTTCTCTACGAGAAATCTTAAAAGAAGTTTTCTTCAAAGAGAGGAAAAATAATATAAATTAGAAACTCTGATATCCATAAAGCAAGAGTGCTGGAGAATAAATAAATGTAAAATAAAAATTTTGATTTTCTTATTCTTGATCATTCTAAAAGTTAGCTGTTTAAAGTAATAATAATAACAACAAAATTACTATTACAAAAGTGAAATGAATTATAGCAATGACAGAGGAGATGGGACGAAAGATTCAGGAAATCATGTAAGATACCTGTGGTACACCTGAGACAGTATAGTGGTATTTGCAGGATGGCCTTAAATTAGTTATAAGTATATGTTAGAAATGCTAAGGTAACCACTAATTCTTTTTATAAGAAATATACTTTTAATGTTAACAAAGGAGATACAATGAAACATATTACGCTCAAAATCAAAGAAGGAACTCAATGGAAGAGGAAGGTAAGGCCAATGAACAAATACAACAAGTAGAACATTTATTAAAACATGGTAGATATTAATATAAATATACTAATAATTTAAATATTAATCATCTAGTCAGAGCAATTAGGCAAGAGAAGGAAATAAAAGGCATCCAAATTGGAAAAGAGGAAGTCAAGCTATCTCTGTTTGCTGATGATATGTTCTCATACCTAGAAAATGCTAAACACTCCTCCAAAAGACCCCTAGATTTGATAAATAAATTCAGTAAACTCACAGGTTACAAAATCAATGTACACAAGTTAACAGCACTGCTATACAACAACAATTCAAGCTGAGAATGAAATAAAGAACTTAATCTCCTTTCCAAGAGCTACAAAAAAAAAAATACTTAGGAATACACTTAACCAAGGAAGTGAAATATATCACAATGAGAACTACAAAACACTGCTGAAAGAAATCAGAGATGACACAAACAAATAGAAATACATTTCATTTTCATTGACTGGAAGAACAATATCATGAAAATGATCATACTGCCCAAAGCAATCTACAGATTCAATGAATTTTCTATCAAACAACCAACAACATTTTTCACAGAATTGGAAAATAACTATTGAAAAATTCATACAAAACCAGAAAAGTCTAGAATAACCAAACCAATCCTAAGCAAAAAGATTCTGGAGGCAACACATTACCCAACCTCAAGTTATACTATAAAGCTATAGTCATTAAAATAGCATGTATTGGTATAAAAGTAGATACATAGACCAATGAAACAGAATAGAGAACCCAGAAATAACGCCAAATTCTTACAACCAACTGATTTTTGACAAAGCATGCAATTAATAAAAATTAGAGAAACGACTCCCTATTCATACATGGTGCTAGGAAAATTGGATAGCCACATGTTGAAGAATAATACTGGATTCCTATGCCTCACCATATACAAAAATTAACTCAAGATTGATTAAAGACTTCAATATAAGATCTGAAACTATAAAATTTCTAGAGGAAAACCTAGGAAAATCTATTCTGGACATTGGCCTAGGCAAAGAATTTATGACAAAGATCACAAAAGCAAATGCAACAAAACTAAAAATAAAACAAATGGGACTTAATTAAACCAAAAGGATTTTGCACAGCAAAAGAAATAACCATCAGAGTAAACTGACAACCTACAGATTGAGGAAAATATTTGCCAACTATGCATCCATTGATGAACTAATATCTAGGATCTACAAGTAACTCAAACAAATAGGCAAGATAAAAACATATGATCCCATTAAAAAGTGGGCAAATGACATGAATAGACTTTTTTCGAAAGAAGATATACAAATGGCCAAAAAACATGAAAAAATGCTCAACATTATTATCATCAGGCATATGCACATTAAAACCAGAATGACATCCCCACTTACCTCAGCTAGAATGGCCATCGTTAAAATGTCAAAAAAATAAAAAGATGGCACAGATGTGGTGAAATGACAATGCTTATAAACTGTTGGCATGGATGTAAATTAGTACAACCTCTATGGAAAAAAATATGGAGATTTCTCAAAGAACTAAAAGATTTACCATTCAATCAAGCAATCCCACTACTGGATATCTATCCAAAGGAAAATAAATCATTAAATCAGAAAGACATCTGCATGTATATGTTTATCACAGCACAATTCACAGTTGAAAAGATAAGGAACCAACCTAAGTGTTCATCAACCCATGAGAAATATATATACACACACACACACATACACACCATGGAATAATACTCAGCTATAATAGAGAATGCAATAATGTATTTGCAGGAACTTGGATAGAACTGGAGGCTATTATTCTTAGTGAAGTAACTAAGGAATGGAAAACGAAGAATCACACATTCTCACTTGTAAGTGGGAGCTAAGCTGTGGGTACACCAAGACAGGGTGGTATAGTGGACATTGGAGACTCAAAAAGGAGGAGGGTAGGAAATGGGTGAAAGACGAGAAACTGGGTACAATATGCACTACTCAGGAGATGGATGGGTGCACTAAAATCCCAGACTTCGCCACTATACAATTCATCCATGTGACAAAAAACTAATTGTACCCCTAAAGCTATTGAAACATTAAAAAAAGTCACTGAACTGTAAAAAATAAACATTAAAATAAATATTAACCATCTGAATACAGTAATTAAATGACAAATACTGTCAAAATGGATTATTAAAAAGTAATAATCAACTAGATGTTTTCTACAAGTAACAAATTCTCTTTAATCACAAATACTTAGATAAGTTGAAAGGAAGAAGACGGATAAACATATACCATGCTATCACTAATTTAAAAATATCTAGAATAGTTTCACATAAATCAAAATTCAAAAAAAAGAGACATTATAAAAGATTAAATAAGACTATCATATGATGATAAAGGACTATTCTCCTAGAAGACACAACAATCCTAAAAATGTAGGTACTTCAACAGATCAACATACATAAGGCAAAAGCTGGTAGACCTGTAGAGAAAAATAGGCATATCCAAAATTATAACAGGGGACTTCAACATATCTCTGTCAGTACTTGATATATTAAGCAGCCGAAAAATTAGTAAAGATATAGCTGAGCTGAACAGCACTATCAATGCACTTTATCTAACTTACGTTTATAGAATATTCCATTCAACAACAGCTTTTCAAGTTCACTTAGGTCATTCACCAAGATGGACCATATTCTGGGCCATAAAACACACCTAAGCAAATTTAAAATAATAGAGATCATACACAGTATTTTGCAGCTTACAGTTGAATTAAACTAGAAATTAATGATGAAAAATACCTGAATAATCCTCGAATATTCAGAAACTTTTAGAAAACTCTTTAAAATAACACATGGATCAAAGAAATCTCAAGAGAAATTTTAAAATAGTTTGAACTAGATGACAAATGAAAGTGCAACATAGCAAAATTTGTGGAATATGGTAAAAGAAAATTAAGCCCAAAACACAAAGAATAAAAGAAATAATAACAAAGGAGAAATCAATACATTTGTAAACATTAAAACAATAGAAAAAATAAAACAAGTATCTTGTTTTTTGAAAATAGCACTGATTGATAAACCTCTAGGAAGGCTAAACAAGAAAAAAAAGGAAAAAAAAAGAACCACAAGGTCACAGTATCAGAAGTGAAGTAAGGGTCATCAGATTTCATGTTCATTAAGAGGATAATAAAGATATATGATAAACAACTCTATGCCTGCAAATTTGATAACTTAGATGAAATGGACCTAATTCCTTAAAATACACAAATATCAAAACTCACCTAAGGATAAACTGATAATATATATAAGCCTATATTTACTATATAAGTTGAATTAATAATTAATAACCTACCAGAACAAATTAGGCCTATATGGTTTCACTGATGAATTCTAATAAAGATTTCAGGACAAAATTACATGAATTATATGCAAGATATTCTAGAAATTAGAAGCAGAAAGAAAAATTTTTAACTCTTACCATGAAGGAAAAATTATCATAATACTAAAACCAGATAAAGTCATTAGAAGAAAACATAAATTACAAACCAGTATCTCTTATAAACACATATGTAAATATTCTCATCAAAAAATTAGCAAATCCAACATAATGGAGAATAATGCCTTACAAAAGTGAGATATTATAGATATACAAGTCTAGATTCAAGGTTCAACATCTGAAAACCAATCAATGAAATTCACCATATCAACAAACTAAAATAGGAAAATCACACGATCATAGGAATAGATGCAGAAAAAGCATTTGACAAACTCCAATATTCATGCATAATAAAACCTTCTGGCAAACTTGAAATAAAGGGAAACTTCCTCAATTTGATAAATACCATCTACCAAAAACTTGCAGCTCAGAGAAGAAAGTCTACATGACTTTAAGTTTGGTAATAACTTTTTAGATATAGCAAAGCCATGATCCATGAAAAATAAAAAAAATCTAAGTTGGGTTTTTTTTTTTCCTTTTTTTTTTTTTTTTTTTTTTAAAGACAGAGTCTCACTCCATTGCCCAGGCTGGAGTGTAGTGACACAATCTCGGCTCACTGCAACCTCCACCTCCTGGGTTCAAGCAATTCTCCTGCTTCAGCTCCCCAGGTAGCTGGAATTACAGGCATGCACCACCATGCCCAGCTAAATTTTGTATTTTTAGTAGAGGCGGTGTTTTGCCATGTTGGACAGGCTGATCTCGAACTCCTGACCTCAGGTGATCCACCCGCCTTGGCCTCACAAAGTGCTGGGATTACAGGCGTGAGCCACCGCTTCTGGCAAGATTGGAATTTTATAAAAGGAAAAACTTCTGCTCTGTAAAAGACAATGAGAAAACAAGCCACAGACTGGAGGAAAATATTTTCAAAAGATACATCTGGGAAAGAGCTGTTATCCAAAACATACAGAGAATTCTTAAAACTTGACAGTAAGAAAACAAACAATCCAATTTAAAAATGGGCAAAAGACCTGAACTCCTCACCAAAGAAGATATATAGATAGTAACCATATGAAAAGATGCTCAACATCGTATGTCATTTGGAAATTGCAAATTAAAACAATGCATTATCAATGCACACCTACGAAAGTGGTGAAAATCCAAAACACTGACACCAAATGCTGGTGAGTACTTGGAACAACAAAAATTTTCATTTATTGCTTATGGGAATACAGGTGGCACAGCCACTTTGAAAGACAGTTTGGCTGTTTCTTACAAAACTAAACATACTCTTATCATGTGATCCAGCATTGCACTTTTTGGTATTTACCTAAATGAACTAAAAATGTACCCACCCAAAAAACTGCACACAGATGCTTATAGCAGTTTTATTCATAATTGCCAAAACTTAGAAACAACCAAGATGTTCTTCTGTTAGGTGAAAGGATAAATAAAATGTGGTACATCCAGACAATGGAATATTATTCATGGCTTAAAAATGAGCTATCAACCCATAAAAATATACGAAGGCACTTTAAATGGATATTATTAAGTGAAAGAAGCCAATCTAAAAAGGTTACGTACTATATAATTTCAACTATATGACATTCAGGAAACGGCAAAACTATGAAAACAGTAAAAAGATCGGTGGTTGCCTGGAGTTGGCTTAGGGTGAGCGAATAAATAGGCAGAGTACAGAGGATTTTTAGGGCAGCAAAACCACTGTTTATGATACTTTAATGGTAGATAACATGTCATTATTCATTTGTCAAAACCCAACGAATCTGCCATATTGACAGTGAATCCTAAACTACGGACTTTGGGTGATAATGATGTGTCAAGGTAGGTTCATCTAATATAATAAATGTCCCACTGTGGTGCAGGATATTGAAAGCAGGAGAGGTTGTGCCATGCAGGGACAGGAATTATACAGTAACTCTCTGTACTTTCCACTTATTTCTTCTGTGAATTAAAAGCTTTCTAAAAAATAACGTTTCTTAAAATATTTTTAAAATTACTTATCCAGCTCATGTGCAAAACTACATTTTATTCCAAAGAAAATGGGACTACTATTACCTTGTGCTGTTGATGTACGTGTCAAAGGAAAATCATACAAAAGGATGTGTACATCTCAGTGTTACAGTAACAGACATACTGAGACAAAGCCCCTAGCAGAGCACAGAGCAAAAGCTCAATATATGGTTATTATTTTGTAACTATTCAAATCTTGGTTCAGATTATTGTCATCTGTATCATCATTATGACTTTCTAGTTGTTATTAATAAAAGAGCAAACTAGGTAAATTTTCAATCTAGTGATAAATTGTTTATTACTCCATTTGGTTGCTTGCAGCATTCCTATAAGTCATTTCAGGACATGGCCCAAGGATATTTCTTGTTACAGATAACAAGAAAGGTAGCATTCCTGCCCACTCCAGAGTAGCACATGAAACTATACCTTGCATTTGGATGATTATTCTGTCTATCCTCAAATGAGCATTGATGGATTTCCTGCAATCCATCTGGGTACAACCAAGGAAAAGGATACTTTGTTGTTTCTGTTAGGGAGATAAAATGTGGCATGGAGAGACAAAGTCCTAGGTTCTATCCAGGCAAGAGCAGGGGGACGGGAGGAAGCTCACCTGGAGGTCGAGTATCTCTCCCTTTCCCTAGCTGATCCCTGGGCAAACTCAGCTGCCAGAAAATCCACAAAGCCCATGGTAGGATTTTGACACTTTGTGGGGGCTCTAAAACCATCACATTAGATACAGGGCATATTTTGCCACATACCCTACTTCATAAATCAAAGTTTCATAAATGGGTATGTATATTAGCATATGTTTATATAAACATTTATATACGTTTATGTACGTATATAAACTCACAATACAGGGCAGAATACTGTTATCTTTGTCCCTGTATTTATGTGTTGCCCCTCATTTCTATGAACCCCAAACATGCCAGGATTCCCCATGTAATTTATGGCAGTTCAGTAAAATAATAATCAAGACCTACAGAGGATGTTTCAGCCACATGAGACTATGGCCCAAACTTAGCAGACAAAGTCACAAGTCCCACAAGCAGCGCACACCAACAGAACAAGAGGAAAGACTTCATCATCATGCCTGAAGAAGACTGCATTTATTCACATGAATGATCCCAGAACAGGATGCAGTGAAGGAACACACACACCTCAGTGACAGCAGCTTCCTTCCTGCTGGCATACCACCAGGAAAGGAAGCCCAAAGCCCAGGCAGGCCATGTGCTCAGGGGTCTCCTATTTCCACAACCAGGGCATGCATGTCTGAAATTCTGACCTAATGCCTGCATATTCTTCCCCAAAGTCAGAGAACAATTGACTGGTTTCTTTTGCTACAAAATTCATAAAGAAGAAAGAAACATTTACTAAAAATACGAGTATAAACAATTTTTATTTTCCATATATTTTCTCCTTTTTTATATACTTTTGTGAAACATTTAAAAGGTGAGATCTTAGCTTTTGGGTTCTATTTGTACTGGCATTTTTCAGACTGCGGGTCATGACTGATGAGTGAATTAGAAATCAATTCCATGGGTTATGAGCAGCAGTTTTGTAATTAAATAGAATTGAATAATAAAAAAAACCCTGCAGCTAACATAATATTTAATGATGATATCTTTTCCCCTAATTTTATGAAGGTATTATTTCCCAAGGAGAAGTAGAAAAAAATGGAAAACATTTCCCAAGGAAAATCTAAAAACCTGTTAGATGTTGGAGATCCTGGGTAATCTTGGACATATTGATCTTTAGTTGCTCATCAGTGACAGAGACTCCTTCCCCCAATACTTGGCCTGTGAATCCCAGCTTAAACACAATATTGGCTAGGAGGTGGGTAAGATGTTTTAGAAAAATAATTTTTAAAAAGTAACACATAAGCAGTTGGTTTTACTAGTGGATGATATAATTCAATATTGATAGTGTAAGTTTTCTTTAAATGAAACAAAAACATATAACGCATTTGGCAAAACATTTCCATACATTGTTCCAGTTTGAAAACGAGCAACAAATATTAAAAAAGAAACAGGGATATTTGAGTACAGAAATTCCTTTGTATACTTGTATTTTTTGAATTTGTTGGAAGCAGTTTTCCTTAATGATCCACATGTATTTAATATGGACTTAGGTGTTTAAGTTATATGGACTTTTCCATCAGTAACTAATTAGGTGCAACAAAAAATATAGTATTATAACTACAACCAATAATATGCCATCTGGCTAGAGGTGGCTGGGGCAAAAAAGTGTGCGTCTGTATATACGTATATATATTTACACAAATATATACACACACATATATATACACACATATACATTTTTATGTGTATATCTAATAAATATTAGATATATATACATTTATGTATATATGTAATAAATATTAGATAACAAGCAAGCAGAGGCATTACAGATTATCCTGGAAAGCAGATTAACATCATTAAATCTGGTTATAAACTGTTTAAGTATTATAGATGGTAATAAAAACTAGTGAATCCAATTACAAGTTATAAAAATTTTTAATAGGGCAGAATTAACTCAAAAGTTTTGAAAAAAAAGTTTGCCTTAAAAATTTTATAGTTTCCAGGGCACAGTAATTTTTTTTAATGGGGAACAAATAATTGAAGACGAGAGATCCGGTTTATAAAATTTTGTAATTTTCTCAAAATAAAAGACCTGGATGAAAAACTCATGATTAATTCAACACTCATCAAAAATTTAAAAACCTATTTTAATAAATTGAATTTTATTTAGGCTCTGATTTTTGTTATTCATTAACATTTTATTGGACCCACTTATATTTTAAAATGAAACCACTGTATCTATAAATAAAATATATTGAATTGCTTTTCATAAATTCAAATTTGTAATAATCGGAATTGTCATAGGAGAGATAAAAGAGTAACTCTTGTACACAAAAATTTATAGACATTTAGTGTTGCTTGATTTATAGTAAGGAAAACCTGAAGAATAGAAAGCTATTGCTAAATAATATAAATTAGTTAAATAAATATTGGCACAGCTATGCAAAGTGATTATTTTTAAAAACACAAAATTTGCCTAGATTTCTTATTTATCTCAGAAAATGCTCACATGATATTAAATAAAAGAAGAAAAAAGCTTGCACAAACCACATATATACATATTTGTATACACACACATGCACACACAGCAGGAGGAATAAAAAGGAAAAAATAATTTTAAAATGTGTGTGTGTGTGTGTGTGTGTGTGTGTGTGTATAACATGTATGTATTCCACAATGGAATTCTTGTCTCCTCTGAGCCTCTCAGAGTTCTGGATTTCAGGCTGGATGACTCTTCAAGGAAGGAGAACCTCAGTCATGATTATTAGAGGCCAAGGGAGAAGCTGTGTTACAATTCAGGCCCTGTGGCAGCTCTGTGTAGCTGAGGCAGCCAGAGAAGGGGCTGAAGTACTCCCAGCTGCTAGAGTAGCAGGTCTTTCTTTGCAAGGGCATTTGGCCATCACATGATCTTCTCCACCACACTATGTAATCTGAACCTAGCTAAGTGTATACTTGTTACACATAATAGATTGATTGAACAATACACATGAAATTAACAATATAGATGAAGTTAAACAACATAGATGAAATAAGGACTATTATAGCTAAAAGTCCAGTCCATTATCCACTCAGGCTTTAGAAAAATCATTTGTCCACAAGAAAAACACCAATAATGTAGACTTGTCAGAAACCCTCTCCCATAGCAGATACATTACATTATTTATATAGAAAAAAATATCTAGCAAACTGCATAAAAATCTGCGGAAACCTGTCTATTTTAGGTAGATTATTTGATCAGAAAGAAATTTCCCAAAACAGAGGAAAATTTCTCCCCAAATGTAACCTTATTTGCACATTTATAATAAGGAAAACCTGAAGAAATAAAAGCTATTGCTTTTTATGTTTTTTGCAACTGAACAATTTATCCTTGTTTACTAAGAAGAGATTCTTGTGATTTTACTGTCAGAATATAAAAATTATTATTTTTATTATTTTTAAAGGTGCCACAAATGTATACACATGTTTTATAATTTTATGTGGAAAAAAATCATATTTACCATGTATCAAATTATTGGTCCATTCTTTACTCAAGTAACAGTTTGGCCGTATAGGTCATTATTAACTAAGAGTGGGCAACTAAATAATCAACTAAGTCTATTGCCCACTTTATTATGAAATTACATTTTGAAATCAGAGTAATATGTGCTTTTATCAGTAAATGACTATGTTTTCTAAAATATATGGGCAATATATGTATATATAAAATACTATTAATATTATATCAATTTTTTATTAATATCTCAATACATCACATTAATATATTATACATTAATATATTCCTTAGTTCCACTATTAATACATTTATTATATAATATTATGTTTTATAATTATATAATAGATTATATTAATGTATAAGCATATAACTCATTTCATTGTGCTTCCCTTTATTGTACTTTGCAGATGTTGCTTCTTTCACAAATTGAAGGTTTGTGGCAACCTTGCATCAAGCAAGTCTATTGGCACCTTTGTTTCAATAGCATATGCTCATTTGGTTTCTCTATGCCACGTTTTAATAATTCTCACAGTATTTCAAACTTTTTCATTATTCTCATATCTGTATGTTGATCTGTGATTAGTGATCTTTGATGTTACTATTTTAATTGTCTTGTGGTCCCACGAACCATGCCCTTCTGAGATGAAAACAAAATTAATAAAGTTGTTTGTGTTCTAACTGCTCTCCAGCTGTTTGTTTCCATCTCTTCCTCTCCTTGGGCCTCCCTATTCCTGAAGACAAAACAATATTGAAATTAAGCCAAATGGGTTAAAAATCCTACAATGGCCTCTAAGTGTTCAAGTGAAAGGAAGAGTCACATGTTTCTCACCAAATCCAAAGCTAGAAATGATTAAGTTAGTAAGGAAGTCATGTCAAAGCCAAGACAGGTCAAAAGCTAGGCCTCACATCAAACAGTTAGCCAAGTTGGAATGCAAAGGAAATAGTCTTGAAGAAAATTAAAAGTGCTACTCCAATGAACACATGAATGATAAGAAAGTGAATAAGCCTTATTGCTGATATGGAGAAAGTTTTAGTGCTCTAGATAGAAGATGAAGCCAGCTACAGCATTCCTTTAGGCTAAAGCTTAATCCAGAGCCAGGCCCTAACTCTCTTCAGCAATATAAAGGCTTAGACAGGTGAGGACACAGCAGAAGAAAAGTTTAAAACTAGCAGATTAGTTCATGAGGTTTAAGAGAAAAAGCCATTTCCATAACATAAAAGTGCAATGTGAAGCAGTAAGTGTTGGTGTAGAAACTGCAGCAGGTTATCCAGAAGATCTAGTAATATCACTGACGAAGATGACTATATTAAGCAACAGATTTCAGTGTTGATGAAACAGTCTTATGATGAAAAAATATGCCATTCAAGACTGTCATAGTTAGAGAGGAGAAGTCAATGTATGGCTTCAAATCTTCAAAGGACAGTCTGCGTCTCTTGCTAGGCACTAGTGGGCCTGGTGAGTTCAAGTTGAAGCCAATGTTTACTTACTGTTTTGAAAATCCTACAGCCCTTAAAATACATGCTAAATCTACTCTTCATGTAGTCTATAAATCAAACAATAAATCTGGTGTACAGCATGGCTTACTGAATATTTTAATAATACTATTAAACCTGCTGCTCAGAAAAAAATAAAAAATTCCTTTAAAAATATTACTGCTCATTGACAATGCACCTAGTGACCCAAGAACTCTGATGGAGATGTACAAGGAGATTAATGTTGGTTTTATGCCTGCTATCACAACAACCATTCTACAACCCATGGATCAAGGAGTAATTTTGACTTTCAAGTACTGCTATTTCAGAAACATATTTCATAAATCAATAGCTGTCATAAGTAGTGATTTATCTGGTTGATCTGGGCAAAGTAAATGGAAAACCTTCTGCAAAGAATTCCCCATTCTAGATGCCATTAAGAACATTAGTGATTCATGGGAGGAGGTCAAATAGCAACATTAACAAGAGTTTAAAAGAAATTGATTTCAACCATCATGGATGACATAGAGGGGTTTGTAATTTTACATGAGGAAGTAACTACAGATGTAGTGAAAATAGGAAGACAAAGAATTAAAAGTGGAGTCTGAAGATGCAACTGAATTGCAGCAATCACATGATAGAACTTGGAGAAGGAGTAGTTGCTTCTTATGGATGAGCAAAGAAATTGATTTCTTGAGATAAAATCTACTCCTCATGAAGATGCTATGTACATTATGAAGATGACAACAAGCAATTTGGACTATCATGTAGACTTAATAAGGTTGCAGCAGAGTTAGAAAGGACCAACTCCAATTCTCAAAAAACCTCTACTGTGTGTAAAATGTCATCAAAGAGCATTGCATGCTACAGAGAAATAGTTCCTGAAGAGTCAATCAATGTGGCAAACTTCATTGTTGTCTTATTTTAAGAAATTGCCAAAGCCACCCCAACCGTTAGCAACCATCCCTCTGATCAGTCAGTAGCCACCAACATCAAGGCAAGACTCTCAGCCAGAAGAAAGATTATGACTTGCTGAAGGCATAGATGAATGTTAGCATCTTCTAGCAATAAAATATTTTTGATCAAGGTAAGTAATACACATTTTTAAAAACGTGATGCTATTTCATACTTAATAATCTACAGTACAGTGTAAATGTAACTTTTATATGCACTGGGAAAACTAAAAAAATCCTTTGACTGGCTTTATTGCAATATTTGCTTTATTGTGGTCGTCTAAAGGTGAACCCACAATATCTCCAAGGTATGACTGTATTATTTTATACAAAAATACTATGCCCATATGGAAAGAAATAGTCACTTGCCGGAAAAGCATATATTACTCTTATTTCTGCATCACATATATGTATACATAATTGCAGTAATTACATATACATATATATAAGTAATTGAAGTTATAATCATATATGTGTGTGTATATATGTATGCGTGTGTGTGTGTTTGTATATATGATGATTAACTGCAGGTACAGATTGAGCATCCCTTATTCAAAGTGCTTAGGACCAGAAGTGTTTCAGATTTCTGATTGTTTCAGATATTGGAGTGTTTGCATATACATAGTGAGATACCTTAAGGATGGCACTCAAGTCTAAACATGAAATTCATTTATATTTAATATACACCTATAAAAACAGCCTGAGGGTAATTTCATACAATAGTTTTAATACTTTTGTGCATGAAACAAAGCTTGTGTACATTGATCCATCAGAAAGCAAAGCTATCATTATGTCATGTTTGTGCTCAAATAGTTTCAGATTTTGAAGCATTTTGGGTTTTGAATTTTGGGATTAGGGATGCTCCACCAGTCTATAAATATATACACATACATACACATACATACCACACACACATACACACGTAGACACATATATACAGTACATATACATACACGGTGTGTATACATATATACACATATACACTATATGTACATGCACATACACTGTATATATACACATACTATATATATACACACTGTATGTACATACATACTGTATATATATATGTACACACACACACACACACACACAGTAAAGCAATAATATTGATGGGCTCCATAAAATATACAAGTAGAACAATGAGATTTACTAGCTCACAGAAAATTAGGACATCTCTAATGTGTAATATATATTTCAAAGCTATAAATGCCAGGTTTTAGTTTAACAGATAGAACAGATAGCAGATTTAATGTAACAGAGAGAAGATGTTTTATCTCTTAGCCCCAGGGCTTCTGTCATGCCATAAAAGCAAGTCTGCTATTTAAATCATAATAAGAATCTGAGAAAAAGTCTTTTGTAGGCTATATCAATTTTTTTTTAAATTTTTATGTTTTGTTTTAATCACACCAATTTTTAAGTTAGTTGACCATAAAACAGCAAACAGTGAGGGACTAAACTTGTGGGCTCATCACACAGTATCAAGCATAGTTCCTCTCTTCTATTTAAAATATAAATTCTAATTATGTAAGAATAGTTTTTTAACATGAATAAACAATATCCTAAATGATAATTTTACATAAGTAATTAAACAAACTAGACAATTTGCTGGAGATTCATGTGTATAATCATCCACTAGTATCACAGAAACAAAGATGTTGTTTCTTAGAAATTCTGACTCTGTGAAACCTAAAAATGGCATAATTGGTCTTTTTAGGTGCATTGCATATTTTTCAGTAGGTAAATCATTCAAGGTGGCAATATTTTACTAAATTTCAGTATTAAAAAAAGAAAAGAAGCAATATTTTAAAACATAAAACAATGAAAACTTTTTTACAGAATGGAAAGGTTTATTACAAGGAAGGCTGAGGGAATGCAGAATAAGTCTGTCTCTTTAATAAAATGCTCCATCCATCATCCAAAGTACACAATATTTTACTTTCATGCCAACACATTTCTTTGGCAGTGTCATCATATGGTGATAAGAGCACAGGCATTGAAATAAGAGACACTTGCAACTTACAAGCTGAGTGATGCTGAGTGATATAGTTGGGTTCACCCATCTCCAATTCCTTCATCAGTCAAATAGAAATAATAAGACATACTGTACAGGGTTCTTGCCTGTAAAGTGTGTATTATTTCATATGATGCCAATGGCACTTTCCATTTACTGTTATTTTTATTTAGGGCACATGTTGTTTTTAATGAAAAAAAAAAGGTACTTATTAGAAGTCACCTGCCTTGCTATGTTATTTTTCTAACTCCTGGGAATATGACACCCAGTAATATCATAGCATGTTATTATTCTCTATTTATATCTGCCTTACTATTAGATTAAGACACAGGCAAAGTAAATACAAATGTTTTGGAGGTTTTTGCTTCCATGATTTATTTCAAAGGAAAATCCATTTTACCTGAGATGGTGTAAATATTTGAAGAATATTGAATCTGTTTCTGATTATTAATACCATAATTCAGGAAAACCCTACACAACATTAGTATACTTCAAGTTTTGCAACTACAAACCTGTAAGAAAATAAGCATTATGCAGACCAGAAGAGTGATCTCAGATAATTCAAAGAATTTGGCCGAGGTCAAGGAGATTTTAAGGAGCCTAATCAGACATAACAAAGGCTTTCTCCTATAATCCACCTGCAGAAGCAATGAGGGTTGCAAAATGATGCATCCAGAAGTATGATGATTAAAATAAAATTTCTAGCTGATTCACAATAATGAGAGAGTTAAATTTGTCAGAATATGTGTGAGTTTATGATTTCTTGTTTTGGAGCCTCCTCATTCTAGAGAAACAGAAAAACCTGTCACTCAGAACGCTGTCAGACCTCAACATCCTACCTGTAATTTCCTACTGTAAGGGCCTGGAAACTTTCCATACTATTTGATGTGATGGAAAACAAATTAATATCAAATTGCTCCTCTTTACAGTGGCTTTCTATTAATTTTTGTTCTAATAACATTTTGGGGGGTAATAAAAATTAGGCAAATATCACAGCACCTAATGATGAAGCTTGAAGTTATAAAAATTGACTTTAATAAATATTGGGTTAGTTATTTTATTTTTATGATGCCATAGTCACTAATATTTGTAGGGTTTTTGATCACATATGCTTTGGTGTCCAGCTTACAGCAGAAAACTGTAACCTTCACTTATAAGATGAGGTAAAGAAGTTTGATTATGCTAAAAACCCTTGCATATATAATGCCATACTTTTTAATAAGATGCTCTGTTAAGAAGTCAATATTTATAGAATAATCTTATCATATAACTCTGTTATCGAAATAGTTTAAATGAGAAAAAGCAAAGGGCTTAGTGAAATGTGCGTGGCATTCAATTTTTCTATTTAATGAGTGACCACATGAACAGAATAGATTGATACAAGTTGAATGTAACCTCATAAACTAAAAATAATACACGAATAATATCTAGAGGTTGCCAAACTCTATACACCTTAATTATTTTAGTATCTCAAGTCCTAACATATAGCCATACATTTCTACAATGCTTTAACTTTATTTGGATAAAATAGCAGCATGAAATGGACATTCTCACCTCACCAAATATTGATTCAGAGGTTTTTTTTTAAATAAAGTTTTAACCTCTCAGTTATTCTCAGAATGATTATTTCCTCTGCAATAGCTACCTGCCCCTATCAAATACAAAAAAAGATAAAAAAATAAAGTAAATTCTTTTTATGTGGGACAAGTACTAATAGACTAAGTTAGAAGTTAAAAAATTGGCAGTATACTTTAGACTCAAAATAAATGAATGTGCCAGGATTGAGCATTTTTTACTGTTACCCGGCAAAACAACCTAATACAGTTATATGAAGGTAATTGTGTGCAACACATTTTTCCCAAAAGAATCTACCTATAATCCATTATGACAGATCTACTCATTTCTCCCTTAATCTATGTACATACCTAATAATTTCAAGTGGAACCAATCTCTGTAACAGTTTCCTATTGCTACTATAAACAAATTATGACAAACTGAGTAACTTAAATACACAAACACATATACACACGTACACATACTATGCTCTGTCTTGCAGTTTTGGAGGCAGAAGTACACAATAAGTTTCAACGTAATGAAGTCAAGATGCTGGGCAAGGCTAGTTCTTTCTGAAGATTCTAGACTAGGAACTGTTTCTTGTCTTTTCCAGCTTCTAGAGCAGGGGTGTCCAATTATTTGGCTTCCCTGGGCCACATTGGAAGAATTGTCTTGGGCCACACATAAAAAAGAACAGCTGATGAACTAAAATAAACATCATGTTTTAAGAAAGTTTACGAATTTATGTTGGACCGCATTCAAAGCCATCCTGAGCCACATGGGGCCCGTGGGCTGCAGTTTGGACAAGCTTGCTCTAGAAAGTGCTAACATTTCTTGCTTGTGGTTGTACCACTATTACTTTCCTCATATGTCAGGAGCTTCATCTTATCAGACAAGAAACTCCTGTACATATCTTTTCTAGACAATTCTATCACTACTTATGGCTTCTGCTGAGTTACCTTTCTGGATTTCATGCCTAGTCACATGCCTAATCTCTTCATAGTCCCCTGTGTGATTAAATAGTCTGATTGTTTGATCTCTTCCAGACAGTAGCAAAATGTTGTCAAGCCATACACTTGGCTTTTTTTTCAGAGCATGCTTTCCTGACAGTTAATCCCCTCATAGTAGCATGTTTTGAAAGCCCTGGCTCACTTTTGCATAAGAATTTTGCCCTCAATTTATATCTTTCCTCTTACATTTCACATTTCATAAGAAAAAAACAAAGCCACATCTTCAACACATTGCTCAGAAATCTCCTCGGCTAAATATCCAAGTTTATCAGATACAGTTCCTTTCCACACAACTAGAAAATATAATTCAGCTAAGTTTCCTGCTATTATATAACAAGGATCCCCTTTCTTCCAGATTCTAGTACCATATTTTTCATTTGTTTCTGGTCTCCCAACAGCAGCCCTTTTAATATCCATATTTCTACCAACAGCCTACATATAACAATTAAAGTATTCTCTGAGACAATAAGTTTTTCTCCTGTGCTCCTCACTTCCTACTGCACCCTCACTAGAAACCCTTTGAATGCCCATAAACTAACTAACATTCTGTTCAAGACTCCCCAGGCACTTCTATAATGTTTCTTAAACTTCTTTCAGCCTCTACCCATTACCTAATTTTAAAGCCACTTCCACATATTTTCGTATGTGCTATAGAAGTACCCCACTTTCTAGTACTGATATCTGTACTAGCTTCCTATTGCTGCTGTAACAAACTGCCACATAAAAAGCTGCCAGGAAGTACCCCACTTTCTAGTACTAATGTCTGTACTAGTTTCCTATTGCTGCTGCAAAAAACTGCCACATAAAAAGCTACTAGCGGCCGGGCGCGGTGGCTCACGCCTGTAATCCCAGCACTTTGGGAGGCCGAGGCGGGTGGATCATGAGGTCAGGAGATCGAGACCATCCTGGCTAACAAGGTGAAACCCCGTCTCTACTAAAAATACAAAAAATTAGCCGGGCGCGGTGGCGGGCGCCTGTAGTCCCAGCTACTCGGGAGGCTGAGGCAGGAGAATGGCGTGAACCCGGGAAGCGGAGCTTGCAGTGAGCCGAGATTGCGCCACTGCAGTCCGCAGTCCGACCTGGGCGACAGAGCGAGACTCCGTCTCAAAAAAAAAAAAAAAAAAAAAAAAAAAAAAGCTACTAGCCCCGGGAGAGGGGCTGATGTATGCAAAGTGCAGAGAAAGAGAGAAAGAGATAGATAGAGAGAGACAGAGAGAGAGAGAGAGAGACATTGCCTGGTGTTCAAATCATAAGGTGGATCTTAGCACTACTGCAAAACTAGTTATGAGGCTTTAAAAAAGAATGTACAATGAGTCATGTGCTCTTATAATTTAAAAATTCATAATTAGAGGCATTTGTGATTGTGTGTTGCAAAGGAATCCCTCAATTAGTCTTATGTACACCTCAGTCCATCTCATAAAAACATTAGGGAAACATTTCTACCCTACTAAATGATTCTATAAACTGAAAACTGAAAGTTAGTTTTTATATTTTTTTAATATTTTATAGATCTTTAAAAAGTTAAGTGTGTAAAGAATAATTGGAAAATACTAAGCTGTGAGACATTCAGCAATGCAATATAGTAAGAAACTTTTTCCTGAAACAATGTAGGGGAAATTGGTAGAACAGCACAGTGTACATAAAAGCTAATTAGTTAAAACATAGTAATAAAACTCCAAATTTAAATTTAAATAAAAGGGCTAATTGAAATAGAGAGCAAACAAAGAAGACTGTAACTGCATACTAATATGTCTAGCTTAATACTTTTGCAGAGGACAAAGGCATACAATTCATTAGAGATAAAAATCTGCAAGCATAACTCAAAACTAAAATGGAAAATTTCATGAAAAAAGAAGATCTAGGGAAAAGAGAAGATTGAGAGGTCATTACTGAAAAATGCCAATTTTTTCTACTTGGTGGAAAGTAAAGTGAGAGATATATTTAGCAGTTATCAATATTAATGAGCAACAAGTCACAGATTTGAGAGGTTAGGCTATAATGTCTTGATGTTAACTATAATTTATCATTTCCAAAAATTTTTAAACGATAGTTAACACATTTGTCTAAGGTTGACTAACTCATATATAATACAATTTTACATAGCAACTAGAAGACTTTAAAAAAATCCCTTTAATTTTACTTTCCAAAAAAAAAAAAATTTGGAAAGGTTAGGTCAGCAAAATACCTTATTTGCTTAATTTTACTTCTCTGGGTCCAATTCGACCCTGAGCAGCCCTTCCAGTCCCCATCACTGACTTTACAATTTGCCAACATTTTTTTCATTGTTGTGTTTAAGGGAAGCTAGAAGAAGATAGAAATCAAGATAGGGCAAACATTTATTACACTAGCACAATTTCAGATCCCAGCATTATAAAATGCCTTATGGAGAGAAGGTGTTTAACATTTACTGAATGAAAATTTTGCTTCTTGTCAACAACTTTTAGGGTACTGCATCTACTACCTAAGGTTTCAACAGGCATTCAATACATTACATAAAATATAATTGCTCATGAAACAAATTTCTCCCATCTATTTTATTCTCTGTATCTCACAACTACACCAATAATTCAGCTCCTCATCCCTTGACTGACTAGAGCAATAACCTTCTGATAATTTTCCCAGACACTAGCCACTAATTTCTTCAATATATCATCTGTATGTCAAAACAGTTAAATTCCAAAAACATGTAGCTGATAAAAATAGATTCCTTGCTATAAATATCTGATGTCCACAGAACCATATTAAATTAATAATCAACATGACGAGGCCTACAGCTAGCCCAAACCCAGTTTTTCAGCCATGCTCTACTGTATCAACAATTCTTCAAGTTATTCAAACTTGTCCTAAAATTTAATTTATTAGGAAAAATCTCACTATTTATTTCTTTGGGTCTTATCTTAATCTCATCACAGTG
Organism: Homo sapiens; assembly: GCF_000001405.40. Taxonomy (NCBI): domain Eukaryota; kingdom Metazoa; phylum Chordata; class Mammalia; order Primates; family Hominidae; genus Homo; species Homo sapiens. The sequence goes on along the minus strand of NC_000002.12, from coordinate 57,113,825 downwards.
GAGCCAAAATAGAGCTAATGATTTATTCACCCATGTTAACATAGCTCCTTTTACATAGCTTAATAATAATTATAATAATAATAAAAGTGACATCAAAGGTATGTTACATATTCGTCTGTCATATTCTATTTACCATCATGTAAACTACTTTTGGATATCAACTGTAATCTTCAACATTCAATTTAATGCCTAGAAAATAACAAATTTAATCAATATTTCATATGTAAAGATGATTAAATGAATGAAGGAGTAAATAAATTTACTTGTTGAAATCTCCAGAATGTTGGACTATTTTTCATAAAACATGCTCATGAAATTGATGATTTTATTTTTGGTGTTTCTGACTACCTATTTATACATTTCTTTTTGGAGATAAATAAGCTTAGTCAATTCATAACTTTTATTAAGTTAAAAATTAAAACAGCAGTGTATGGTTAAAAAATGAAAATCATTCCATTGGTCTTCTGAAGCCTATAAGAAAAAGTACTTCCATTGTATGCTATGACAGAGGACCTTGTCCCAGACTGGGCTTCCAGCTAAAAAAACAAACAAATGAAGCACAACAACAACAACCCAAAAATCTAAAAACTGGACAAAATAAAATAAATGAGATGATTGTTTTTCAGGAATTGACAATAGGGACTTTCATATTTAAGAGAGTGGAAACGTGAGGATCTATGATTGCCTGACTTTCTACCTGGAAGCACATTGCTGCCTTAATGCAAGAAAATAAAACCCAAGCATATTGACAGTCTTTCTAACCTGAGGAGGTAAATATTGGAGTTCTAGGTGGCTAGTGCACTTGGAATTTTAGAGAAAAAGTAATTAAAATGATGGAATGTTTTAGAAGGTACGGGGTAGAGGGAAACATTAGCTGGGAATATCAAATTAGGGTGGTTTCCATGAGCTGGCTTGTGGGTGAGATTGTGGGAAGTCTAAATGAGATTGCCGCTGTGGGACTGAGAACAGAACAGAACTAACCAAGATGGTACAGTGATTACAGAAGTTGGAATTCCATGTTAAGCTGAGTAGAAAAACCTCACTGAGAATGTCAGGCTTCATTATGATGCCTCAAAAATACCTTGTTTTGACAGTTAAAACTAGGCCCAAGGACAAAGTTCAAAACTCAAATAGACCTAACATAACAGTAAAAAGAATGATCAAACCAGACACAAACAAGGATCTTCATTAATTTAGTGGTCTATCAGAACAAAACAAAAATTCTATAAAGCAAGACAACATAGTCTGTTCCTTCAAAAAACTAAAAACTTTACTAAACAATCTGAACACCTAAAAACTGTTAGACCTGCCAATAAATAGGAAAATGTGAACTATAATAAAGAAAATAAGTACAAACAGACCTTAGATGTTGTATTTAATTGACAAGGACTTTAAACCTGCTGTTTTTTAATTTTGGAGTTTAATAACTATAAATCCATTGCATGCTATGACAGAGGACCTTGTCCCAGACTGGGCTTCCAGCTAAAAAACAAACAAAGCACAACAACCACAATCCAAAAATCTAAAAACTAGAAACAATAAAATAACTGAGATGATTGTTTTTCAGGAATCAGACAATAGGTATTAGATGATATAGTTTAATAAGTATAAAAACCTATACTCAAGAATTTCAAAGAAATTGTTTTATAGTGAGTGAACATATACAGAATTAAGTAGAAAAATGGAATCTCTAGAAAAATAAAATAATGGGGAATTCAGGAATGAAAGTAAAACAAAGATATCTGCTTACTGTCCAACTTTATACTGAAGATCCTGTACAATTTAATGAGGCAAGAAAAAGAAATAAATGATTAAAAATAAAGAAGTAATTTGTCTCTATTCAGTGGTTATCAATGTAGACAATCTCAAACATATCTACAACCTCTACTATAAAAAGTAAAAGGATTTATCTGAACTATAGGGTACAAGTTCACTGTAAAAAAACAATTGCATTTCCATAAACTAATGACAAATTAATGTAAAGTAAAAATTTAAAACACTACATACAGAACTAAGAGCATAAAATACTTATGAATATATTTAATATAATATGTTCCAGATTACAATAATGAAAGTACAAAATATTGCTGAGCAAGCTAAAAGAAGTATTATGGATTGAATTTTATCTCCCCGAAAGATATGTTCCGACTAATCCTATATACCTATGAATGTGACCTTATTTAGAAATAGAGTCTTTGCAAATGTAAACCCAGTTTCAATTAGGTCATATTAGGTGTATTAGTTCATTCCCATGCTGCTAATAAAGACACACCTGAGACTGCATAATTTATAAAGAAAAGGGGCTTTATTGGCTCACAGTTCCACAGAGCTGGGGAGGCCTCAGGAAACTTACAATCATGGTGGAAGGGGAAGCAAACACATCCTTCTTCACATGATGGCAGCAAGGGGAGGTGCCAAGCAAAATGGGGGATAGCTCCATATGAAACAATTAGATCTCGTGAGAACTCACTATCACGAGAACAGCCTGAGCCTGACTGTCCCCACGATTAAATTACCTCCCACGATACATGGGGATTATATGAACTATAATTTAAGATGAGATTTGGGTAGGGACACAGCCAAACCATATCATTAGCTTAGGGTATTCTCTAATTCAATTACTGCTGTTCTTATAACAAAAGGGAAATCTTGACAAAGATATACAGGAGGAATCCCATATGATGACAGATGCGGAAACTGGAGGCATGCATCCACAAGCCAAGAGTCACCAAGGACTGAAGAAAACCACATGAAGGTAGGAGAAAGGAATGAGACAAACTGTTTTAGAGCCCTCTAGAAGAAACAAACTATTGTCTTTAAAAAAAAAAACCGATTTATTTATATTTAATTGACAAATAATAATTATATATATTTATGGGGTACAATGTGACATTTTGATTAATGTGTACATTAAAGAAAGATTCAACCAAGCTGCATGGTGAACACAGATATATTTCAAAATTGCTAAAATAGATTTTTAATATTGTTATCACAAAAAAATTATAAATTGGTGAGGTGATGGATATGTTAATTAGCTTAATCAAATGTTTCGATAATGAAATTGAATCTTTCTATACCTAGAAAACAACCTTTCCAATCCCTTGATTTTAAACTTCTAACCACCAGAAATGGGAGATAATAAATTTTTGACATATTAAGCCACTCAGTTTGTGGTAGTTTGTTACAGCAGCCATGAAAAATGAATACGGCCATACTTCATTGTACGCGCTTAGATTTATTGCACTTTGCAGATATTGCATTTTTTACAAATTAAAGGTTTGTGATAAAATTGTTTTTGGGCATCACAAACCGTGCTCATGTAAGACACCGAACCTAGTTGATACATGTTGTATGTGTTCTGACTGCTCCACCAACAAGCCATTTCCCCATCTTCCGTTGATTGGGCCTCCCCATTCCCTCACGCACAACAATATTGAAATTAGGCCAAGTAGTAGTCCTACAATGGCCTCTAGGTATTCAAGTGAAAGGAAGACTTACCCTGGACGCACTTTAAATCAAAAGCTAAACATGATTAAGCTTAGTGAGGAAGGCATGTCAAAGCTGAGACAGGCCAAAAGCTAGACCTTTTGTGTCAGTTAGTCAAGTTGTGAATACAAAGGAAAAGTTCTTGAAGGAAACGTAAAGTGCTACTCCAGTGAGCACAAAATGTTAAGAAAGTGAAATAGCCTTATCGCTGATATGAACGTTTTAGTGGTCTGGACAGAAGATCAAATTAACCACAACATCCTCTTAAGTCAAAGCCTTATCCAGAACAAAGCCCTAACTCACTTCAATTCACTGAAGGCTGAGAGAGGTGAGGATGCTGCAGAAGAAAAGTTTGAAGCTAGCAGACATTGTCTCATGAGGTTTAAGGAAAGAAGCCATCTCCATAATATAAAAGTGAAGGGTGAACCAGTAAGTGCTGGTGTAGAGGCTGCAAGTTATCCAGAAGATCTAGCTAAGCTCATTGATGAAGTTGGCTGCACTAAACAATAGATTTTCAATGTTGATGAAACAGCCTTGTACTGGAATAAAATGTTCTCTAGGACTTTGATAGCTAGAAAGGAGAGAGCAATGCCTGGCTTCTAAGCTCCACATGATAGGCTCCTCTCCTGTTAGGGGTTAATTCAGTTGGTAACCTAAAGATAATGCTCATTTACCATTCAAAAACTCCTAGAGCCCCTAAGAATTAGACTAAATCTATTCTGCTTGTGCTCTATAAGTGGAATAACAAATCATGTATGACAACATATCTGTCTAATGGTTTACTGAATATTTTAAGCCTATTGTTGAGATCTACTACTCAGATAAAAAAAAAGATTCTTTTCAAATATTACTGCTCACTGACAATGCACCTAGTCACCCAAGAGCTCTTATGGAGATGTACAAAAAGATTAGTGATGTTTTCATGCCTGATAGCACAACATCCATTCTGCAGTCCAAGTATCAAAAAGTAATTTCAACTTTCAAGTATTATTATTTAAGAAATACACTTTGTAAGGTTATAGCTGCCATAGATGGTAATTTCTTTGATGGATCTGGGCAAAGGAGAGTGAAGACCTTCTGCAAAGAATTCACCATTCTAAGTGCCATTAAGAATGTCCATGATTCTTGACACTAGGTCAAAGTATTAACAGGAATTTGGAAGAAGTTGAGTCCAACTCTCATGGATGACTTCTAGGGATTCAATACTTCAATGGAGGAAGTAACTATATATGGTGAAAATAGTAAGAGAACAAGAATTAGAAGTGGAGCCTGAAGATGGGACTGAATTCATGCAATCTCATGATAAAACTTAGAGGTTGAGTAGCTGCCTCTTATGGATAAGCAAAGAAAATGGTTTATTGGATAGAATCTATTTCTGGTAAAGATGCTCTGCACATTACTCAAATAACAACAAAGAATTTAGACTATTACATAAACCTGGTTGATAAAGCAGTGGCAGGGTTGGAAAGGGTCAACTTCAATTTTGAAAAAGGTTCTACTGTGGGTAAAATGCTACCAATGAACATAGTATGCTACAGAGAAATCTTTCATGAGAATAAGAGTCAATCAACATGGCAAACTTCAATGTTGTCTTATTTTAATAAATTGCCAAAGCCACCCAAACTTCATCAACCATGACCCTGGTCAGTCAACAGCCATTAACAGTGAAGAATGACCCTTCATTAGCCAAATGGTTATGACACACTGAAAGCTCAGATGAACATGAACCTTTTTAGTAGTAAAGTACTTTTAATTAAGGTATGTCCATTGTTTTTGAATACCTACTGCCATTGCACACTTACTAGTCTACAGTATAGGGTAAACATAACTGTTCTATGCATTGAGAATCCAAAAAAAATATCTAACTGGATTTATTGCAACATTGGTTTATTGTGGAGGTCTGGAACTGAACCTGCAGTATCTCTGAGGTATGCCTGTATTTTGAGAAAGTATTTGAGTACACTCTCTAAGTTTTCTAGAAAAAGTAATTTGATTTCCAAGTTATGAGAGATTAGTCTACTAAATATTGAAGTATATTTAAGTATTGTGTTTTCATCAGAATTAGAGTCAATAAAGATTCAGAGACAAATGAAACCTTTCAAACACATACTTTGATGTATTGAACCAAACGTTTATTCTAAAGATTTATTAGACTCTGTGCTTGGTACCAAGAAAATAAAAGGGTAGTATATATAATAAAGTATAGGTTAGTTTTTTTGCCATCTATTTTTGATGGAAGGAAAGATTATATCTGGCACATCAAGAAGATTTTGCTTTAATGCTAGTAATTAATTATTGGAGAAACTCACTTGGAGTAGTTGGTAAAAAAAAAAAAAAGTCATATTTAACATCAAAATGCCTTAATCAGATTTCTCATTTTCAGATAATCTCTTCTCAGATTATTTTTGTTTATGTTTTCAGCACCTTGGTAAAAGCATCTGGACTGACTAGGGAGATGATTGTTTTCTTTCCTGGTTGTACTTTAGCAAAATAGAAGAAATTTTCCTTTAAACATAACTATCTACCTTGGTTCCCCTTAATGGTCTAATCTCTCTCTCTTTGTCCACTCAATAAGGAAATGAACTTTTTTTTTCAAGTTCATTTTCATATTCCTTCAAGAAGTGCACTAAATCTAAAATAGAGAGGTTCAGGCAATGTTTCAGATAAGGGTGCTTCAAATAGGCATAACTAAGAAATCTTGGCTTGATTTGAAAGTGTGAATGTACTGTATGCCTTTACTTCTGTTCCCATCCTGCCAAGTTCTTTTCACATTCGCATTTGGCAGTAATTTTTCCAGATATGGACTTTGCCCAGATGTCTGCATATCTGGATTAGTTTTGTCAACAAGTCTTGACTCAAATTTCACCTTTACTAAAATGACTTTTCAATAGTTCTGCGGTTTAATAATTATATCTCAGAGGAAGTGAAAAATATATCTGAATAATAACAATGAAATTGTAGCTCAGTATTTGTAGAATAGGCACACTTTACTAATAGGAAAATCCATGGACTTATAAATGCTTTCCTTATTAAAAAGAATAAAAAAATTAGTCATATATTCAAACTGTTCAAATTACAAAATTTGAACAAAACCAGCCTGAAAAAACTGTAGAGCAAAAAAATGATAAGGATAATAGTTAATATTATTCAGAAGACAAAATGAGTAGGTTATTTAAGTAAATTCTTTTAACTAGAATAATTAAAACTAGAGAAAGTGAAAGAATAAACAAATGCTATCAGAAAGAAGACATATCTAAAAATATATGACTGAGATTTTCAAAATATTAGCATATGTCATCTATATTTTACATGCATATTATATTGCAAATGTAAACATATTATATTTTGCCAGTGTTAGTATAATGAAGCTATCTAAGACTGTGCAGGTGCAAACCTTAGCTGTAGACAGCTCCTATAGAGTGTAACTCAGGGAGTCCCAAAATGTTACTCCTGCATCTACTCCAATGCCTGAAAAAATTTCCAATAACCATTTTCCTTTATTGAGGTGCTGTAGGTCTCTGTTAAAACATAAACATAATTCTTTTTCCCTGGTTTCTAGATGGCTTTGATAACGTTCCCTGTCTGTGACTTTCTAGGATGCTTTTCTTTTCCCCATCAACTTCCACAAATTCCTGTCTTTGAGCCCCTTCACTTCTCATTTATATATAGGTTTGTCATTTATGATGTGTGAAATTATTGTTTGATCTGTTTTCTGTTTCCTCAGTAACTGTCCATAAAAAAGCTGCCACTTGTTAGTCTGTAATGTCTTCCAGTCACTTAATAGCTATAAAGGTAACTTTGAGTTGCAGAATTTTTCCCAGGAAGATGCTATAATTCTCCAAATCCAAATTATTTATGTATATTCATGTGAGGATCTGAATGAAATTCAGACCTAGAGAAGCCTTTCTTTGGGCCCTACTTCATCTCATTCTAACCTCCTCATTTTCCTAATTGCCTTCAGGCAACTGAGTCCCATAAACCAGCAATCCCCAGTACAAGTAGTAAAATTTACTTGATAGGTTGATGAAGCCTCCTAACACTTTCAGTGAGATATGTTTAAGAGGACTGACAAGACAAGTAGGCTGGTTTATAGCAGGGGTTCCCAACCCTGGGGGAAGGAGACCAGTGCCAGTCCAGTCTGTGGCCTATTATCTTCTATTGCTGGATGCACAGCAGGAGATGAGTGGCATCAGAGATGGGTTTCATGGCAAAAACAAATTTTTCACGGACAGTGGGGGTAGGGGAGGTTTCAGGATGAAACTGTTCCACCTCAGATCATCAGACATTAGTTAGGTTCTCATAAGGAGCATGCAACCTAAGTCCCTTGCATGTGCAGTTCACCATAGGGTTTGCGCTCCTATGAGAATCTAATGCTGCAGCTGATCTGATAGGAAGTGGAGTTCAGCCACTAATCTGACAACAGGTGGAGCTCAGTCAGTAATGTTCGCTCAGGGCCACTTACCTCCCACTGTGCGCCCCTGTTCCTAGCAGGCCACAGACAGGACTGGTACTGGTCTGCTGTCCAGGGGTTGGGGATCCCTGCTATTATGTTGGTACATGAAAGATAATGGCAAAAACCGCAATTACTTTTGCACAACCTAATATAAACCAGCCTACTTGTCTTGTCAGTGTTCTTAAAACTGTCTCATTGAAAGGGTTAGGAGGTTTCATCGACCTATCAAGCAAATTTTACGAATTATATTGGTTGTCTTCTGCTGCTTAACAAATTAACATAAATTTAGAAAATTTAAGTAACACCTGTTTAATATCTCAGAGTTTCAGTAGGTCAGGATTTCAGGTAGTATATGACTGGGTTCTCTGTTCAGGGTATCACAAGACTGACAACAAGGTATTAGCTTGTCTGAGTTCTCACCTTGAGGTTTTGGAAAACATTACTTCCAGGTTTTTTTCTTCAGGTCGTTAGCAGAATTTATTACTTTATAGTCATAGGACTGATGTCTTTATGTTCTTGCAGATTGACAGCTAGGGAGCACCTTTGCCTCTAAGGTCACTGTTAGATCTTTGCCCTGTGGCCTCTGCTCTCACAGCAATAGAAAACCTTCCTTCAATTGAATTCTCATTATTTGAATCTCTCTGACTTCTCCTAAAACAGCCACAGAAAACTGCTTTTGAAGGGCTCATGTGACTGACTAGGTTAGACCCACCTGGATAATCTCTCTTTTTATTAACTCAAAGTCAACTGAAACTTAATTACATTTGCACAATCCCTTTGCCATGTAATATAACATAATCAGGGGCTTAAAGGAGCAAAAATTATGAGGGCCATCTTAGAATTCTGCCTACCATAATAATTAACTTCATTTTTACAATTTTAATTATACGGAAATCATAGAAATTATGTTGTTGACTTATCTGTGCAGAGAAGACACAATTCACTAGTAAAAGACCAAATGACCTAAAAAAATCAAAGTATGATGTGCACAGAGTATGTATTATAAATTCAAAAAAATTTCCACAGCAACAATGAATGTATCAAGTATGATCGTTATACTGTAGTATAATATTTTTATACATTTTAGAACATATTACCCTTTATATATTAATATATTAAGTGTGTGTGTGTGTGTATATATATATATATATATATATATATATATATATATATATATATACACACACACATGCTTAATTATTTGCAAAATACATCAGGCCTTAATATAAATCAGTTTGAAAGATAACTTTATTATTCTAAATTCTACTGTCATTGCTTTTTTAAAGCATAGTTATCTACTTTTAATATAACAACATGTTTGGTGACTTTAATAATATCTGTTTGACCATTACAATTTTCTCTATAAATTGTATAGTGTTTTAAAATTAATAAAACATGTTATGCTAACAAGAATGAAATTATTTTAATGTACTTGTTCTGTAGAAATAAAGATTCTGCACTAAATTCTTGATTATATAAAAATTTTCACCTGAGCATATTCATGGACAACAAGTCAATAATACTTTACCAGAATGCACAGTCATTTTATAAATGCACAGTTATTTTATAAAAGATTATATATTCTATACCTATACTTTTAAGGAAAAAATAATTTATATTAACACTGCTTCACACATAACAATATTAACCTTAAATGTAAATGGGCTAACTGTTCCAATTAAAAGACACAGAATGGCAAGCTCTAAAAAGACAAGACCTATTAGTGTGCTGTATTCAAAGGACCCATCTCACAAGCAGAGACCCACATATGCTCAAAATAAAGGGATAAAGGAAACTTTACCAAGCAAGTGAAAAGTAGAAAAAAGCAGAGCTTGCAATCCTAGTTTCTACAAAACAGACTTTAAACTAACAAAGTAAAAAAAAAATACAAAGAAGGGCTTCACATAATGGCAAAGTGTTCAATTCAACAAGAAGAGCAAACTATCCTAAGTATATATGCACCCAATACAGGAACCCCCAGATTCGTAAAATGACTTCTTAAAACCTGCAAAGAGACTTAGATTACCACACAATCATCGTGGGAAACTTTAACACCCCACTGCCAACATTAGACAGATCATCAAAACAGAAAATTAACAAGAATATTTAGTACTTGAACTCAACTCTGGATAAAGTAGAACTGATAGATATCTACAGAACTCTCAACCCAGAACAGCAGAATATACATTTTTCTTGGTGCCAAATGGCACCTACTCTAAAATTGATCACATAATTGGAAGTAAAATACTCCTCAACAAATGCAAAAGAATTGAAATGATAACAAAGAGTCTCTCAGACAATAGCACAATCAAATTAGAACTCATAATTAAGAAACTCACTCAAAGCTACACAACTAAATGGAAATTGAACAACCTGCTTCTAAATGACTCCTGGGTAAATAGAAAATTAAGGCAGAAATCAAGAAATGCTTTGAAATTAATGAGAACAAAGAGAGAATGTACCAGAATCTCTGGGATGCAGCTAAAGTACTGTTAAGAGGAAAATTTATAGCACTAAATGCCCACATCAAAAAGCTAGAAAGATCTCAAATCGACATCCTAAAACAGAGATATGTGACATTTCAGACAGAAAATTCAAAATAGCTGTGTTGAGGAAACTCAGAGAAATTTATGATAACACAGAGGAGTTGGAATAGTATCAGATATATTCAACAAAGAGATTGAAATAATTAAAAATAATCCAGAAATTAGGGAGCTGAAAAATGAAATACACATACTAAAGAATGCATCAGAGTAATGTAATAGCAGAATTGATCAAGAAGGAGAAAGAATTAGTGAGCTTGAAGATAGGCTATTTGAACATACACACTCAGAGGAGACAAAATATAAAAGAATATAAAACAATCAAACATGTCTATAAGATCTAGAAATAACCTCAAAGGGGCAAATCTAAGAGTTATTTGTCTTAAAAAGTAGTTATAGAAAGAGATAGGGGTAGATCATCCCAAACCTAGAGAAAGATATCAGTATTCACATACGAGAACATTACAGAACACCAAGCAGGTTTAACCTAAAGAAGACTACCTCAAAGCATTTAGTAAGTAAACTCCCAAAGGTCAAGAATAAAGAGAGGATCCTAAAAGCACCAAGAGAAAATAATCAATGGAGCTCCTATAAGTCTGGCAAGAGATTTTTCAGTGGAAATATTTCAGGCTAGGAGACAGTGGCGTGACATATTTAAAGGGCTGCAGGGGAAAGAAAACGAAACAAAAACTATCACCCTAGAATAGGATATCCAGAGAAAATATTCTTCAAACATTAAGGAGAAATAAAGACTTTCCCAGCTGAAAAAAAGCTGAGGAGTTTCATCAACACCAGATATCTCCTACAAGGAATGCTGAAGGGAGTACTTCAACCATAAAGAAAAGGACACTAATGAGCAATAAATAATCACTTGAAGGTACAAAACTCACTGGTAAAAGTAAGTTCACAGAAAAACACAGTATATTATAACACTGCAACTGTGGTGTGTAAACTACTCATAACGTAAGTAGAAAGACAAAAATGAAAGACAAAATATTGAACCAATTAAAAATAGTAACTACAACAACTTTTCAAGACATATTACAATAAGTATAAATAGAAAAAATAAAAAGTTAAAAAGTGGGGGAGATGAAGTTACGGCATAGAGTTCTTATTAGCTTTTTTTATGCAAATAGTGTTGTTATCAGGCTAAAATAATGGGTTATAATATTTTCAAGCATTATGGCAACTTCAACCAAAAAAATACAGTGAATACACAAAAAAATAAAAAGCAGAAAGCTAAATTATATCACCAGCAAAAAAATCACCTTCACTAGAGAAAGACAAAACAAAAGAAAGAAGATAATCAAACAACTGGAAAAAGAAATAACAAATGGCATGAGTGAGTCCTTACTTATCAATAATAACATTGATGTAAATGGTCTAAACATTCCAATGAAAAGACATAAAGTGGCTGAATTGATAAAAAAAAAAACAAACAAGACCTACAGATCTGTTGCCTAAAAGAAACACATTTTACTTATAAAATCACACATAGACTGACAATAAAGGGGCGGAAAAAGTATTTCATGTCAATGGAAACCAAGAGCAGGAGTCGCTATACTTAAATAAGACAAAATAGATTTTAAGACCAAAACTATAAGAACAGACATAGACTGTCAGTATATAATAATAAAGGGATCTGTTCAACATGAGATATAACATTTTTAAATGTATATGCACCCAACACTGGGTCATCCAGATATATAAAAGAAATATTATTAGAGCTAACAAGAGAGCTAGGCCCCAATACAATAATAGATGGAGACTTTAACACCCCACTTTCAGCACTGGCCCAATCTTAGAGATAGAAAATAAACAAAGAAACATTGGACTTCATCTGTGTTATAGACCAAATGGATGTAATAGATATGTACAAAGCATTTCATCCAAGAGCTGCAGAATACACATTCTTTTCCTCAGTACATGGATTATTCTCAAGGATAGACCATATGTTAGGTCACAAAACAAGTCTTAAAACATTCAAATAATTTGAAATAATATAAGGCATCTTCTCTGAACACAAAGAAATACAACTGGAAATTGATAACAAGAGGAATTTTGGGAACTATACATATACATAAAATTTTTTAAAAAATGCTCCTGAATGACCAGTGAGTCAATGAAAAAATTAAGAAGGAAACTGAAAAATTTCTCAGAAGAAATGATAATGGAAATGCAACATACCAAAACCTATGAGATATAACAGATGGAGTACTAAGAGGAAAGTTCATAAATGCCTACATCAAAAAAGAGAAAAACAAATGTACAATCTAACAATGCATCTTAAAGAACTAGAAAAGTGAGAAAACCAAACCCAAAATTACTAGAAGAAAAAAAAAATAATAAAGATCCTAGCAGAAATAAATGAAATTTAAATTCTAAAAATATGCAAAATTTTGATAAAACAAAAAGTTGGTTTTTGAATAGTTAAAATTGAAAAACCTTTAGCCAGGCTATGAAAAAAGGAAACAAGATCCAAATAAATAAAATAAAAAATAAAAAAGGGACACATTACAATGGATACTGTAGAAATTTAAAGAAAAATTAGTGGCCACCATGAACAACTATATGCCAACAAATTGGAAAGTCTACAAGAAATTGATTAATTCTTAGGCACATACAACCTACCAAGATTGAACCATGAAGAAATTCAAAACCTGAATTGCACAATAATAAGTAACAAGATCAAAGCCATAATAAAATTATCCCAGTAAAGAAAAGTCCAGGATCTGATGACATCACTGCTAATTCTACCTATCATTTACAGAACTAATAACAATCCTACTACAACTATTCTGAAAAATAGAGGAGGGAATACTTTCAAACTCATTCTATATGGCCAGTATTACCCTAATACCCAAACCTAACAAAGATACATCAAAAAGAGAAAACTACAGGCCATATCCTTGATCAATATTGATGCAGAAATCCTCAACAAAACACTATTAAACAGAAGTCAACAATATATTAGAAAGATTATTCATCATGACAAAGTGAGATTTATTCCTGGAATGCAAGTATGGTTCAATATATGCAAATCAATCATATCTGTAATATCAACAGAATAAAGAATAAAAATCATATGGTCATTTAAATTGGTGATGAAAAGGCATTTAATAAAATTCAACATCCCTTCATGATAAAGGTCCTCAAAAACCTGGGGATAGAAAGAACCTACTTCAACATAATAAAACCCTTACACAAAAGATCCACAGCTAGTATACTAAATGGAAAAAACAAAAGCAAAAACAAAAACAAAAAACCAAAACTGAAAGCCTTTCCTTTAAGTTGCGGAACACGACAAGGATGCCCACCCTCACCACTGTTATTCAACACAGTACTGGAAATCCTAGCTAGAGCAATATATAAAGGGCATCCAAATGGGCAGGAAAGAAATCCAATTATCCTTGTTTCCAGATGATATGCTCTTATATTTGGAAAATCCTAAAGACTCCACAGAAAAACTATTAGAACTGAAAAATTCAGCAAATTGCAGGATACATAACCAAGATACAAAAATCAGCAGCATTTCTATATGCCAATTTTAAAAAATCTGAAAAAGAAATTTAAAATGTAATCCCATTTACAATACAAATAAATTTAAATACCTAGGAATTAACCAAAGAAGTGAGCAATCTCCACAACAAAAACCATAAAACTTTAATGACAGAAATTAAAGAGGACACGAAAAATAAAAAGATATAAAAAGATATTCCATGTTAATATAGTGGAAGAAACAATATTGTTGAAATTTCTATACTCCTCAAAGTAAACTACAGATTCAAAGCAATTACTTTCAAAATACCAATGACATTCTTCACAGAAATAGAAAAAACTCCCAAATTTATATGGAACCAAAAGACACAGAATCATCAAAGCTATCCTGAGCAAAAGAACAAAATTGAAAGAATAACATTACCTGACTTTAAGTTATGCTACAAAGCTTTAGTAACCAAAAGAGCATGGCACTAGCATAAAAACAGCAACATAGACCAGTGGAACAGAACAGAGAACTGAAACAAATCCACATACTTACAGTGAACTCATTTTTGACAAAGGTGTCAAGAACATCTACTGGAAAAAAAACAGTCTCTTCAATAAATGTTTTTCGGAAAACTGGATGTCCATATAAAGAAGAATGAAACTAGACTCCTATCTCTCACCATGTACAAAAATCAATCAAAATGGTTTAAGGACTTAAATGTGAGACCTCAAATGAAAAAAAAAAAACAAAACACACTACAAAAAAAACATGTGGGAACTCTCCGGGATATCGATCTGGGCAACAATTTCTTGAGCAATAACCTACCAGCACAGGCAACCAACCAAAGCAAGAATGGACAAATGAGATCACATCAAGTTAAAAAGATTCTACACAGCAAAGGACACAATCCACAAAGTGAAATGACAACCCATATAATGGGAGAAAATATTTGCAAACTACTTCTCTGACAAGGGATTAATAACCAAATTATATAAGGAATGCAAACAACTCTACAGGGAAAAAAAATTAATAATCTGATGAAAACATGGGCAAAATATTTGAATAGATATTTCTCAAAAGAAGATATATAAATGGCAAACAGGCATATGAAAAGTGCTCAACATCATTGATCATCAGAGAAATGCAAATCAAAACTACAATGAGATATCATCTTACCCCAGTTAAAATGACTTATATCCAAAAGACAGGCAATAACAAATGCTGTCAAGGATATAGAGAAAAAGGAACCCTTGTTCACTGTTGGTGAGAATGTAAATTAGTACAACCATTGGGGGAAAAAGTTTGGAGGTTCCTAAAAAAAACTAAAAACTGACTTTCCGTATGATCCAGTAATCCCACTGCTGGGTATATACCCAAAAGAAAAGAAATCAATATATCAAAGAGATATCAGCACTCCTATATTTTCTGCAGCACTGTTTACATGGCTACTATTTGGAAGCAGCCTAAGTGTCCATCAACAGTGGAATTAATTATGAAAACGTGGTACCTATACACAATGAAGTACTATTCAGCCATAAAAAAGAATGAAATCCAGTTATGTGCAACAACATGGTTGGAACTGAAAATCATTAGGTTAAGTGAAACAAGCCAGGCACAGAAAGACAAAAATCACATATTCTCACTAATTTGGGTAATCTAAAAATTAAAACAATTAAACCCATGGACATAGAGAATAGAAGGATGGTTACCAGAGGCTGGGAAAAGTGGTAAGGTGCTGTCGGGAAGGTGGAGATAATTAATGGGTACAAGAAAAAGAGACTGAATAAGGCCTACTATTTGATTGCACAATAGTGTGACTATAGTCAATAATAATTTGATTGTACATTTTAAAAGAACTTAAAGAGTGTAATTGGATTGTTTCTAAGTCAAAGGATAAATGATTAAGGGGACAGATAATCCATTCTCTGGGATGTGCTTATTTTGCATTGTATGCCTATATAAAAAATCTCAAGTACCACATGAATATATACACATACTATGTATTCACAAAAATCAAAAATTAAAAAAATAAAAATTATGCTTTTAAACTATATTCCCAGAAAACAAATAAGAGTTATTTGTCTAAATGATTAACACAGTTCTCAGGAAAAATAAAGCCTACATAAGCAGTTGGTGCATGTGTTCTAATTTGTGATGGATATATAGTAATTTTTAATTTTAGTAATCAATTTTTTGGTGGATGTCAAACTGAGTGTTATACAAAACAGTTAGAATTCTTAGTTGGAGGGCAATCTGTATTGAATGAAATTGAGCTAGGAATAAAACGACGGGATATATGCTATCTCACAGAACTGAAAGAACAGGTGAATGAGTTCAAAACCCAGAATTTTAAGAAACAAAGTCGTAATTTTTGTATAAGGTGTTTCAGCTTTCTACACATGGCTAGCCAGTTTTCCCAGCACCATTTATTAAATAGGGAATCATTTCCCCATTTCTTGTTTTTATCAGCTTTGTCAAAGATCAGATGGTTGTAGATAAGTGGCATTATTTCTGAGGGCTCTGTTCTGTTCCATTGGTCTATATCTCTGTTTTGGTACCAGTACCATGCTGTTTTGGTTACTGGAGCCTTGTAGTATAGTTTGAAGTCAGGTAGAGTGAGGCCTCCAGCTTTGTTCTTTTGGCTTAGGATTGACTTGGCAACACGGGCTCTTTTTTGCTTCCATATGAACTTTAAAGTAGTTTTTTCCAATTCTGTGAAGAAAGTCATTGGTAGCTTGATCGGGATGGCATTGAATCTATAAATTACCTTGGGCAGTATGGCCATTTTCATGACATTGATTCTTCCTACCCATGAACATGGAATGTTCTTCCATTTGTTTGCATCCTCTTTTATTTCATTGAGCAGTGGTTTGATTATAAATCATGCTGCTATAAAGACACATGCACATGTATGTTTATTGCGGCACTATTCACAATAGCAAAGACTTGGAACCAAGCCAAATGTCCAACAATGATAGACTGGATTAAGAAAATGTGGCACATATACACCATATACACCATGGATTACTATGCAGCCATAAAAAAGGATGAGTTCATGTCCTTTGTAGGGACATGGATGAAATTGGAAATCATCATTCTCAGCAAACTATCGCAAGGACAAAAAACCAAACACCGCATGTTCTCACTCATAGGTGGGAATTGAACAATGAGAATACATGGACACAGGAAGGGGAACATCACACACCGGGGCCTGTTGTGGGGTGGAGGGAGTGGGGAGGGATAGCATTAGGAGACATACCTAATGTTAAATGATGAGTTAATGGGTGCAGCACACCAACATGGCACATGTATACATATGTAACTAACCTGCACGTTGTGCACATGTACCCTAAAACTTAAAGTATAATAATAAAAAAAAGAAACAAAGTCTTGTGGTAGAAGGGTGGGATTGTGCAATTGAAAACCCCAGTAAAACCATTTAGAATGAAAAAAAGGTAAAGAGAGGATGAAGATAAGAAAATCAAGAGGAATATATTACATGATTCCTCTACAGCTAACAATGACATCAACAGGCTTGAAATGATAAAGCTATCTAAGGTAAAATTTGTCAATAACAGATGGGAATATTTTTAATTGAGCCAAAAAGTAATAATTTTTTAAAGAAATAGCATTTAATATGCAATGAACCTGGTAGTATTAACCATATATCCCTAAATTTGACATGATTTCAAAAATGTTCAAAATGGAAATAGCATGCTGAACTGCATTAAAAGTGTCAAATTGATCAGATTACTAAAAATAATTCCTGCCTGAACTAAATCTTACATGGTGGAATTATGTGCCCACTTCTTGCAATATTTTAAGAGCGGCTCTCACGTGATAGATTACAGTCACATAAAGTTAACAGGATGGGGAGTGTTATTAAAATCAAATGTAAAAGGACAATAAATAATTAACACGTAGATGAACTTTGAAAGAACTGCTGTCTATGTACAAGGATCTCTAAGAATGTCATGCAGAAGAACTAGGTGCATTTGTTCATTGTTGGTTTAGACAATAGAATTGGGTCAAAGTTCCAGGAAAATACATTGCACTTTATTATAAGGATGATTTATCAAAAAGTTTGACTGCTTATTGAAGAACTGAAGAACCTGTTCTGGTATGTAATCAAGCATAAATTGAATGAATCTTTGTAGAAACATTGTCTCAGTGTTCACACTATTTTGACAAGGCTGGAGTGGATAATTCCCAAGGATGTTTGAGCTCTGAAATTCTCTGAAGTAA
The DNA here is from genome assembly GCF_000001405.40 of Homo sapiens. NCBI lineage: Eukaryota > Metazoa > Chordata > Mammalia > Primates > Hominidae > Homo > Homo sapiens. The sequence continues at coordinate 57,095,611 of NC_000002.12, read as the reverse complement.
GTGGTATATTGCCAAGAGGTGGTAATAATATGGGAGATAAATTCTTCAATATGTTTTTCCACAAGAAGACAGCAGAGCCAAAGGTTACCCACTCTCTTTTTACATTATATCATCTATTTAAGATGGGCTGTCTGAGAAAATATTTTATATGGGATAGTCCTAAACTACTAAGGGAACATACAATTGAGGGAATATTTTGTTTTCCATAACATTCAATGCATAACTGGCAGAAAGAGCAAGGTGGATTTTATTAAGAAGTCTTTGACAAAAATAGCAAAATATATCCTTGGCTACAAGTGAAAAAAACGTAAAAATAGACCATGTGAATGAACAAGCAATCTGTTCTATTTAAATAAATTCCAGATTTCCTTTCTTGCATATCAGAGTGTGTCAGTAGGTTGAGCCTGTGTCACTCACGATTCAGTGGGGAATAACAAGGTATCAACTTTTAAGAAAAAATATTGTGCATATTTATGATGTACAACATGTTCTGTTATATGCATACATTGTGGAATTACAACATAATTAACACAGCCATCACATCACATCACATCACATACTTAACATTTCTTATGGTGAGAAAATTTAGAATTCTCTCTCTTTTTTCTTTTTTTTTCTCTTTTTGACATGGAGTTAAGTTCTTGTTCCCAGGCTGGAGTACAATGGAGTAATCTGGGCTCATTGCAGCCTCTGCCTCCTGGGTTCCAGCGATTCTCCTGCCTCAGCCTCTCAAGTAGCTGGATTACAGGCAACTGCCACCATGCTCAGTTAATTTTTTGTGTTTTTAGTAGAGATGGGGTTTTGCCATGTTGGTCAGGCTAGTCTCGAACTCCTAGCCTCAGGTGACATAAATCTTGTAGAGTTTCTTTATTCCTTTTTGTTTTTTTTTTTTTTCTTAATTCTTATCTGACTCTAGTTCACATGTTCTTTCTTCTCCTTAACAAAGTTTGCTATTAATGTTATCTGTTGCATTTTTCATTTAACTCACTGTATTTTTCAGCTCTAGGATTTATTTTTTTATGATTTTCATTGCTCTGTTAAAGTTATTGTTTTTTAGGAACTGTATTTCTGATTTGGATTGTTTCCATTTTCTCTTGAAATTTGCTGAGCATTCTTAAAATGATTATTTTGAATTATTTAAGTAACTCATAGATTTCCGTTTCTTTGTGGTCTGTCATGAGAAAATAATTGTGTTATTTTATTGGTACTGTTTCCTTGTTTACTTTTCATGTTTCTCATTGACTTGCATTGATGTCCTGCATTTGATGGAGTGACTAGTCACCCCTTCCAGACTTTCCAGGCTGATATTTCTTTAAAAATATGAAACATTGCATCAGTTTTTTCAGTATCTTTGGTATCACATTATTGACTTCTACTGTCTGATAGAGATTTTTATGTGAATTTAAGAAATTTATCATATGCTTTTAAAACAAAAGTAAATATATGTTAAATTCAATGTTATAACTTATTTTGTGTAGAATTAAAGAAATCAAACAAATTGCATAAATAAGTGATGTCAGGTGTGATTTGTGTGAGGTAGAGTGTTTCAGTGTCCTCAATGCATCATTTTTGTCACTTTTTTTCATTTTCCTAGTAATATTCTTATACCACAAATGTTAATACCATTCTGACAAGAAACTTTCATTTGGTAAAGCTTGAAATCTCATAATCTCGAAACAACTAAACAAATATTTCCTCATGTTATTGATCAGAAAAAACAGTCTTCTAAAGGTTTTCAAAAGAAATGAGAGTGAGCAATAGTAAATTATTATTTTATAAACACTAGTAATTTTGTGAGCTAAACATTTTATTCAGTATAAATATATTTCTTAGTAAATCACGTATGCCCCAATCAGCACTAAAGCAAATTAATGGGAGAGTGGTGGAGCAAGACGGAAGAATAGAAGGCTCCACCAATCACTCCCCTGCAAGGACACCAATTTAACAACTATCTACACACACACACAGACACACACACACACACACACACAAACCCAAAAACAAACAAAAAAAAACACCTTCATAAGAACCAAAAATCAGGTGAGCACTCACAATATCTGGTTTTAATTTTATATCACTAAAAGAGGCACTGAAAAGGTAGGAAAACAGTCTTGAATTTCCTATGCCACCCCTCTCCAATCCCTTGGCAATCAATGGCCATGCAACATGAAGAGAAAAGCTGTGTGCTTTGGAGAGGGAGAGCACAGCAATTTTGAGAAAATGTATTGAACTCAGTGTTTCCCTGTTATTGCAGAAACCAAAATTGGAACAAACTCAGTGGACATCTTCCCATGGGAAGACTATTTAAACTAACCCTAGCCAGAGGGGAATTGCCCATTCTAGCAGGGAACTTAAGTTCCAGTAAACATTGACACATTGGACTGGAGTGCTCTGGGGCTAAGTAAACTAGAAAGGCAGTCTAGGTCACAAGGACTGTAACTCCTAGGCAAGTCCTAGTGCTAAACTGGGCTCAGAGTCAGTTAACTGGGGTGAGGTGGACACAACCTACTGAAACACCAGCTGTGGTATCTAGGGGAGGGATGGCACCACTCCCCACCTAAACCCCAGGCTGCACAGCTGATGGCTCCAAAAGAGACTCCTTCCTTTCACTTGAGAAGAGGAGAGGGAAGACTGGGGAAGACTTTGTATTCCAGCGCAGCCACAGCAGAATGTGGCACTGGTTAGAGTGGTGAGGTCCTTTTTTCAGGCCCCTAGATCTTGGATAATAATTCTAGACATACTCTGGACCACAGGGGAACCTGCTGCTTTGAAGGGAAGCATCCAGTCATGGCAGAATACATCACCTGCTAGCTGAAGATCCTTGGGCCCTGAATAACCAGCAGCAATACTCATGGTAGGTCTTGAGTGGGACTCTGAGGCTTGCTTCAAGTTAGACTCAGCACATTCCCAGACATGGTGGCTATGGGGGAGACCCCTTATTCTTGAGAAAAGTGGATTGAAAAGTAAATGGGACTTTGTCTTGTACCTTAAGTACTAGCTCTGCCACAGGAGAGTAGCACCAAGCAGGCTCTTGGTGACCCCATTTCTAGGACTTGGTTCTCAGATGGCATTTTTTAACCTGTCCTGAGCTAGAAGAGAGCCCACTGCCCTCATGGGTGAGTCCTAGGCCAAGCAGCATTCACCACAGGCTGACTTAAGAGCTCTTGGGCCTTAAGAGAACATCGGCAGTAGCCTGGCAGTACTCCCCGTGGGCCTGTGGTGGCAGTGGCCATGCAGTGCAGCTCCTCTATCTTTAGGAGAGAAGAGTAGGAAGGACTGCATCTTACAGTTTCACTGCCAGCTTAGCTGCAGTACAACAGAGGACACTATGTAGGTTTCTAAGGTTTGTGACTCTAGTCCTGGCTCCCTGATGGCACTTGGGGCCTGGGGGCACACGCGGTCCTGAAGGGAAGAACACAGTCTTGGCTGGCTTTGCCACCTACTGATTGTAGAGCCCCAGGGCATGAATTATAAAATAAAATATGTAAAATGAAAAATTATATAATTAATATTTAAATATAAACTAGGTCTTTGGAGGAAATCCGTGATTACATGTATCTCTGACAAACCTAATGAAGAAAATATAGAAATAAAATTTGAAATACTATTTGGCATGTTTCTGCAAGTAGATAAATTTAAAATATTGTATTAAGAATATGTAGGCGGGCGGATCATGAGGTCAGGAGATCGAGACCATCCTGGCTAACGCGGTGAAACCCCGCCTCTACTAAAAATACAAAAAAAAATTAGCCGGGCGTGGTGGCGGGCGCCTGTGGTCCCGGCTACTCGGGAGGCTGAGGCAGGAGAATGGCGTGAACCCGGGAGGCGGAGCTTGCAGTGAGCCGAGGTCGCGCCACTGCACCCCAGCCTGGGCGACAGAGCGAGACTCCGTCTCAAAAAAAAAAAAAAAAAAAAGAATATGTAGAAATTGAAAGACAGCATGCTGAGTACACATATATAACTACCCCTCCTTTCCAATTAGCAGGATAAATGACACAGCAACCAATTAAATGGTCCCATTGGTTAGAGGTGGGAAGAAATTTTATGTGCACCAAAGACCATGATTTTATCATTGGCAAGATCAGGTAAATAAGAGAAAACCAAAAACCAAAAGATCAGAATCTGAGAAGGCTTAAATTCTCAGAAAACTCATATTTTGAGTTTAGTTAATTTGTGAGGATTTCTTTTAGCACACTAAGTGCAGGCTGTTCCAGCCTGTTGTTGCTATGCATTAGAAAAGTATCCATATCCTGACGATTCTGTATTCTTTAAGTGAACAGCCTTGGCAAACTCAATTGACTCCATTCCATGCGATGAGGAGAAGCCAGAATTTCTAAACTTGGTCTCATAGAATTTTCAGAACTATAATGCCTCTAGGCTTTTTGCATTTGATGTTATCACTATGAAATGCCATTTCTATAGATTATCACATGGATTATTTCCTTTTTCCTAAGTATTTAAGTCTTGAAATGTGCATTTGCTGTTCCCCTTTCTTTATTTCATCACAAATTATATTTTTATTCTCAGCTCTTAGAATACCATCAATGTATAAAACTTGTTATTAAATTTTAACTAAACATAAGACATTCTCCTCACAACTAAGTAAAGGGATCCAGTGTGACAGAATATCTAAAGCTTAATTTTTTTAACAAAAATAAAAACTAATTACATGAATGAGTCATATAGAGTTCAGAACTAGTGACCAGGAAAATTAAGAGCAATAAATACTTCCAAAGCAAAGCAACAAAAGAGAATATCATGAAACAAGTGGTGAGACATATAAATAGATGCCAGGATACATAAAATTCATGTATAAAATAATAAATAAAAACAGGTAAGAAGAGCTAATATTTAAACAAAATATAGAAGAAAATTTGTCTTACTTGAGGAAAAATGGGAGCCTCCATATTGAAGGGGTTTACCAGGTTCCCAGGCTGGAGTGATGAAAAATGTACATCCCTGAACACATTTTGGTGAAAATTCTAAGACTTCTACATTTCTTGCTCAAATTTTGATAGACCTGATCAAGGAAAAAGAAGTTGAAATGTAAACAAATTGAGTAATATAATCAATAATCTTAAATTAACACACATGGATACATCTTTTTATTATTTATAGAGAGAATATATATTACTGGTTAAACATATGTAAAACTTATACAAAATGTGACCATGGCCCAGGTGCAGTGGCTCATGCCTGTGATCCCAGCACTTTGGTAGGCCAAGGCAGGAGGATCACTTTAGGCTAGGAGTTCGAGACCAGCTTGCCCAACATGGCAAAACCCAGCCTCTATTAAAAATACAAAAATTAGCTGGGCATGGTGGTGTGGGCCTGTAATCCCAGCTACTCGGGAGGCTGAGGCAAGGGAATCGCTTGAACCCAGGAGGTGGAGTTTGCAGTGAGCCAAGTTCATGCCACTGAACTCCAGACTGGGTGACACAGTGAGACTGTGTCTCAAAAGAACAAAAACAGAAACGGAAATAAAATGTGACCATGTATTGAAAACAACACATTTACCAAGTCCAAATATGTGCATTATTACAAGCAACCTGTGTGGTCAAGAAAAGTATATTTAGAAATTGCTAATAAAAATTAATCAATATAATTAATGATTTAAATGGACACTACACAATTGCATCAAAGAAGAAATCAAAAGAGAATATACAAACTAGAAAATAAAGAAGGACATGCCAAAACTAAATCTATGTAACAGAGGAAATTATATTCAGATAATAAAATTTCTGCTGTAAAACCCTTAATTATGTAAGAAGAAAAACACTTTTAACTTATAAGCACAATTCTAGTTAATATAGAAACCAAGAAGAATTTATGTCACAAAAGGACACTGATTTCAAATCTTACTTAGGATTACAAAGATTAAAACAATTATTATGAAATGTTAGCAAATACAGTAGTGTATTAAGGAAATAATACACTGAGACCAAAATTTGTCATATAATTTATATTAAAAATCATTGAAATATTCCAAAAGAACTAATAATATTTAGCATTCATTGTTGACTAAATGTCTACGTGTATTAAGGAAGCAAGAAACACTTCCCAACTCATTTAATAGGGCCATTAGCTGCTGTCTGACACCAAACAAGACACGATGTTATAAGAGAAACACTATAGACCAATATCGTTTAAAAGCACACAAGTAAATATTCCTAGTGAAATACTAGTAAGTTCCCCTTCCTGTGTCCATGTGTTCTCATTGTTCAATTCCATCACCGGGGCCTGCTGTGGGGTGGGGGGAGTGGGGAGGGACAGCATTTGGAGATATACCTAATGTTAAATGACGAGTTACTGGGTGCAGCACACCAACATGGCACATGTATACATATGAAACTAACCTGCATGTTGGGCACATGTACCCTAAAACTTAAAGTATAATTAAAAAAAAAAGAAATGCTAGTAAATTAAGTCCCACAAGATAAAAACATGCTATCTATTCACCAAGTAAAGTTTATTTAAGCAAGATTTATTCAACATTTCACCATATAAACAGAATCAAAAGAATAAACATATAATGATTACATTTGATGCAGAAAAGCATTTGACAAAATTCAACATTCATTTATACAAACTAAGCATAGAAGAAAATTCATCAAGCTAATAAAGGGCATTTGATAAAACCACAAACTAGCGCCATAATGGCAAAATACTGTATCTTTCCACCTAAAATTTATAACAAGTTAAGGATGTCAACACTTGCTGCTGCTATTCGACATTGTAAAGGGGTCTTACCCAGTGTACTTAGCAAAAATGAATTTGACAAATAATTACATATTATACAGATTGTCAAAAGAAGTGAATTTTATTTTTCTTTTTTGCAGTAACAAGTTTTTATAAATGGAAAATCTTAAGGAAGCCACAAAAAAGGTACTAAAAATTGAGTGTGTTGCACAAGACAGCAGTACTTAAAATTACTTTTCACAAATTGCATCACCATATTACTACCAAATAAAAATCACAAAATAAAATTCCATTTCATTAAATGGCTTCCAAACCAGGCAACATTTAAGTATACATTTTTAAAAATATATGTACAAGAAGACATGTACATAATGTTCATAGTAACTTTATTTGTCATATCCAAAATCAAGAACAAGTAAAATGCACATCAATAGGATGTAATAGATAATACATTTGAATACTAATTATCAATAAAAATTATAAGCCAACAACAAATACATGCAACGACATCAATAGATCTCAAAAACACTATAATAACTGAAAAAAGCTGGACACAAAGGAGAATATAATATTTGATTTCAATGTATATTTCTAAGAAATTCAAATTAAGCTAGTGACAAAAATCACATATGTAATGTTCTGCAAGCTGGTTCAGAGGGAAGAATTAGCTGCAGAAGTGTAGGTAATTTTTGAGGTGCTGGAAATGTTTCAAACTGGATTAGACTTCAACCTAAGATCTCAAACTATGAAACTACTAAATATAAACATTGGAGAAACACTCCAGGACATTGGAGTGAGCAAAATTTATTGATTTGTTGATACCCCACAGGCAAACAAAGCAAAAACGTAAAACAGGATCACATCAAGTCCAAACACTTCTGCGCAGCAAAAGAAACAACAAAGCGAAGACACAGCTCACAGAATGGGAGAAAATATTTGCGAACTAACCATCTGACAAAGGACTCATAACCAACATGTATATATAAGAGCTCAAACAACACAACAGGAAAAATTATCTAGTAATCTGATTAAAAAATGGGCAGAAGATCTGAACATATATCACTCAAAAGAAGACTATACAAATGGCAAACAGGTATATGAAAAGATGCCCAACATCATTGATTGTCAGAGAAATGCAAATCCAAACTACAATGAGATATAGTCTCACTCCAGCAAAAATGGCTTTTATCAATATGGCAGGTAATAACTAATGCTGATGAGGATGTGGAGAAGAGGAAACCCTCATGCACTGTTGGTGGGAATGTAAATCATTACAACTACTGTAGAGAATATTTTGGAAGTTCCACAAAAAACTCAAAAAAGAGCCAGCATATGATCCAGCAATGTCACTGCCAGGTATAGATTCCAAAGAAAGGAAATATCTGCACTCCCATATTTATTGCAGCACTATTCACTGTAGCTACAATTTGGAAGCAACCTTAGTGTCCATCAGCAGATGAATAGATAAAGAAAATGTGGTATGTGTATATAATTAAGTATCCATCAGCCAAAAACAAATAAAATAAAATAAAAATAATGAGATTCTGTCATTTGCAACATGGATGAAACTAGAGGACAGTGTGTTAAGTGAAATAATGAAGGTGCAGTAAGACAAACTTTCCATGTTCTCACTTACTTGTGGGAGTTAAAAATTTAAACAATTGAATTCATGGAGACGAAGATTAGAATGATGGTTACCAAAGGATGGGAAGGGTAGTAGGGGATGAGGGGTACAGGGGAAGTGGGGATGATTATTAGATAAAAACCACAGTTACAGCAAATGAGTAAGATCCAGCATTTGATAGCACAACAGGGTGACTACAGTTAACAATAATTTATTGTACATTTTAAAATAACTAAAAGAGTATAATTAGAATGTTGGTAACACAAAGAAATGATAAATCCTTGAGGTGATGGATACCACATTTATTCTGATGTGATTATTACACATTGTATACCTGTATCAAAATATCTCATGTACTCCATAAACATGTACACTTATGTACATAAAAATTAAGTTTAAAAAATTGTGCAGATACATTTTGGAAAAGGAAATAAGAGAAAAAGCAAAATAACTGACATAACATACGAAAAACATAAAAGATATATATTTTTGCTCCTAATATTATATTTTATAAAACTCAAGAGGCCTTAGTAGAGTAAATCTATCAGAGTTTTAACAAATTTTCTAAACCATGCAAGGTAGGTACAAAATAATATTACCAACTAATAATTCTCTTCTACTCTAATAATAAATTCCTATAAATAAAAATGGGAAACATATTTCATTAATGATGGTATTAAAATACAAACGTTTTCATAATAAATTTGTAAAAAAGAAAAGAATAGAGTTCTCATATAAAAGTACGCTTAAAAGATACTAATACACAATCTAAACACATAGGAAGTTGTACCATAATCTTAGGAAACAATAGTGTTCGATTTCAAAGTTTCTTTTTTGGATGCATATGTATTTCTGAATATCTTGACAAAGCAACTTGCCACATCTATTAGATAGCTTAATTAAAAAAATATTGAAAATATAAGTGCTCAAAATAAGAAGATACATAACAACGAGATACATAATGTGCGGTTGATGTGATGAAAAATGTTATAGTTACTTAGGAAATCAGTCTGGCAGGTTCTCATAGTTAAAAAATATACTAACCATACAACACAGCAATCTCATTTTAAGGTACTTAACAAAGTAGAATTGCTGCAGTGGCTGGTCGGGTATGAGCAGGGCAGGAGACGGCTTCCCCACACACACACCCCAGGAGTGTTGGGTGACCATCAGGTGATGGTCAGGTGGTTGGTAACTGTTTCTCTAAAGTAATAATTGGTCACCACCAGTGCCCGGGAAAGATAGTCTCCTTATAGAAAACATCTGAAACTGGTCAGCAGCTTCCCAATAATATCTCAGGGGTCAGGAGAAGTAAGGCCAGATCCCGGAAGTATGCCAATGTATAAAACCCCAATTCAAGAGGTCAGGTTGTGCACTAGGCTTCTCAAGTCCCTGCTTGGACCTCTTCCAAGTTGCGCTTTCCTTCTTCTTTCCTTTTCTTCCAGTTCTAAAGCTATTCAATAAACTTTCACTCCTGCTCTGAAACTTGCCTCGGCCTCTCCTTCTGCCTTATGCCCATCAGTCGAATTCTTTCTTCTGAGGAGGCAAGAATTGAGGTTGCGGCATATCTGTGTGATTCGCCGCTGGTAAATCACGGTAACTCAGACCTCTTCCACCACTAACAGAATGAAAACCTTTTTTCAGACGAAATCCTGTGATCTATGTCTTTAATATGGCTTTATTCATGTATGTCAAAAACTAGAAACAACAATTGAGTAATGAAGAAATGGGATCTGTCCATACAACAGAACACTGTCCAGTAAATTAAAAAAAGAGCAAATGCATTTTTGCTTATGGGAAGATAGAAGAACTTTTCCCTATTCCGTCTGCCAAGTGTAGCTAAAAACTCTGCATATCGTATGTAAAATCAAGCTAAGAAGACTTTTGAAAGGCGGAGAGAAGGTAGACATGCTAGGGACCTCAGAACTCAATAAATGATGTGGTAGTGATGATGGCAGTAGTGGGCTGTCCAGAGCAACCACTGTCATGGTGCTGGCTGCTAAGGGGGTGGGGGGCTGTGCGGGCAGGTCGCTGCGGGTGGGAGCTGCAATGGCAGTGTTGGGACTCCTGTGCCCTGTGTCCCCTATGCCCCGTATCTTGGAGGCAGCCGACTGTGCCGCCCCTGCCCTTGCTCAGCCTGGCGGGACCCACTGTCAGACCAGGAGCCTCTGCCGCTTTGGCCCCTGGCCCCATGTCGCCACTCTAGCCTGCCACCACTGCAGGGAGGGCACAGAGAGGCGGCGGACAGTCCGGCGAGCCCAACCTGGGAGCTCCCCAGAGTCTACCATGATGGGGCTGGGCCAAGTTGCCCGCCAGTTGGGGAGCAGTGCAGTCGGGCACGGATGGGTGGGCAGAAAGGGGCCCTGGGGTGGAGCTGGGCCTGAGGGGGTACCGCCCTCCACAGAGCCTGCAGGAGCCGGGAGTAGACAGCAGTCCCACCCTCCCAGGCATGGCTCCAGCAGCCCAAGTCCTGGCTGTGGACATAGGCCTCCCTCTTGGGTGCCGGGAGCAGGCAAGAGCCCTGCTTTTCCAGCTGCAGCTATCGAGCTAAGGCGACAGACCCAGGCATCTCTGCACTCTGGGAGACAGGAAGGCTCCCCCTTACCCCCTATACGCTCAGAGGTGTCTGCTCTGGCTGCCTGGCCTCTCCCTGCTCCCAGCGCTCACTCCAATCTCAGAGCAAAAATGGGGCCAAGTCCGGGTGCTGTTGCAGCCCAGCCGGTGTGCACATGCTCAGGCAGCACTGACAACACCAGCCCCCTGCTATCTCAGCCCCCTCCAGACTTTAGGCACTGATGAGTACGGGAGGGAGAATGAAGGGGTGGGGAGGCTGAAAACATCCTAGTCCTGGGCTGCAGGTGGCCCTTGACATAAACAGCCTGGGCTCCATGAACAGCAGCAGGAGACTGAAAGGCTTCAGGGTGGAAGAGTGTGGGTCCCTGGTGAAGCCCCACCTTCAAGCCAGGGAAGGTCTGAAGCCTGGGGCCAGGCTGCCAGTCCCAAGGACAGGAGTCGGAATGTGTGATGCTTTTCCCTGGGCCCACCCATGGCTGCCCATGGACCAATCAGGATGCACTTCCTCCCCTCTGAGGCCATGGAAACCCCCAGACTCAGCAAGACTCCAGGAGAGGATGGAGAGGCAACTGGAAGATGATGGGACGACCAACTGCAGAGAGGAGCTTCCCACTCCAGGTTCTCCCATCTGCTGATGACCCACTGCAGAGAAGAGCTACCTCTGTGCTGAGAACTGAATACTCAACAGGATGACCTGCCTATGGAGAGGAGATAGCCTCTCTGGGTCTTCTCTGTTCTATCACTCAAGAAAATTCCGCTGTCTTGCCTACCCTCCACTTGTCTACGTACCTCATTCTTCCTGGACACAGGACAAGAACTTGGGACCCACCCTGTGGAGGGGTTAAAAGAGCTGTAATACAAACAGAGCTGAAGCAGCCTTTTGCTCATCACATTGTGGGTGACAAGAAGGAGAGAAGGGAGAAGGAGAGAAGAGCTGTGGCCCTTTGGGGATCCCAGACCTGCAAGCTCTCCTAGCAAGGGCTGTGACTCTCCCTTTGAACCCCTGAAGTTTCTGGAGTCCTCAAGCTTCCAGGTACCATCATGTTCCCCAGTGCCAGCCATGGAAGGTGCTTTTGGTGTGCCTGGTCCAGCCACAGCCTTGTAATGAGCTGGCACCTGTGCTGGCACCTGGAGTTGCCTGACCCACTGCAGCAGCCAGTGTGCTTGACTGTGTGCAGTGGCTGGACCCCATGCCTGTTCACGCACACACCTCTTGCCACTCCACTCCAGTCTCTTCAGAAGTATGAGATCCAGGCCGGTAGCAAGAGCTGACTGTAGCCTGCCAGGCCGAGTGGACCAGGCAGGGCTGAGCAAAACTTGGGCAAAAGCACAACCGGTCACAGAGGTTTCCAGCTAGAAAAGCAACACCCCCAAAAATCCCATAATAGTGAGCTTCCTAGATTTGCTTTTTTTCCTTAAACATTTAAGGTTGAGTGTTAAATAAGCCAGCCACACAGAAATTCTAATGAGACACCACACACACACACACACACACACACACACCACCACCACCAACAACAACAACAACAAGAATACAACAAGATCAAAAAACAAAAAAGTATGATGTCTAGCTCTTTATTACCAAAAAACTAGAAATGGGGAAGCCTCGCATTAAAGTTTTAGACATTAACTACTCTTCTTCAACCAAACACCACAAGAAAAGAACAACAATAACAACAACAACAACAACAACAACAAAACCTGTAGGACCAACCCCACCTACACCACCAGCAGCTTCCCTGGGTAGCCTAGATTTCTACCTGCACTCAGCTAAGATGAGACTCACAAGCACTCCATCTTCTACCCACCTCTAGGATGATTTCAGAGAAGGCTAACGGTGTCAACAGAGATTAAAGAGGGAAGCCTGGACTTCAATCTCCAATTGGCAGTAACAAGGCAGCACCTCCCTCTTTCCCTGCTGGAGTAGTGAAAATCAGGTAAACTGAAAATTAGTAAGATCCAGAGTCTCAAAATAATAACCAAGTGCCCAAGTTTCAATAAAAAATGACTCATCATACTAAGAACCAGAAGTATCTCAACTAATTGAGAGAAAGACAGTAAGTCCAAACACTAGATACAGGGATGTTAGGTATAGATAACAAAATTTTAAAGCAGTCCCCGTAAAAACATGTGAATGACCATTTAGCAACACACAAAGTATAGAGATTTCCAGCAAAGAAATAAAAAAAGGAAAAAAACTAAATTAAAAATTTAGAAACGAAAAGTACGGTTGCAAAAATAAAGCTCAATGTATGGGTTAAACAGCATAATGAAAGAGGCAGAAACTTGAAGACAGAACATTAGAATTACCCAGTCTGAGTAACAGAGAGGAAATCGATTCAAAAAATAATGAACAGAGCTTCGGACACCTTAGGATTACAAGAAAAGATCTATCATTCCTTTCACTGGAGTTGCACACGGAGAGGAGGAGGAGGAAAGGAGGGAATTGAAAAAGCACTTGAAGAAATAATGCTAGATAGTCAATTTCAGAAAAAGACATAAACCTATAGATTCAAGAAGTTGAGTGAACTGCCAACAGAATAAACCCAAATAAGTCCATAGTAAGAGATATCATAGTAAAACTTCTGAAAACTAAGACAGAAAAAATATTGAATATAGCAAGAAAGAAGGAATGCTTTATGCATAGGGGAAATCAATGTGAATGGCAGTGAATTTTTCACTAGAAATCATGGAGGGCAGAAATAAACACATCATGTTTCAAATGTGGTAAGAAAAGAATTGTCAATCCAGAATGCTATATCCAGTAAAAATATTCTTCAGGAATGACAGAAAATGAAGACATTCTCAGATAAAGGAATAATAAGATAATTCATCTACAGTAGACCTACCATAAAATAATGGCCAGAGGAAGCTATCTAAACAGAAAAATGATAAAAGAAGGAATATATAAAATATATATATTTTTAATTTTCATGGATATGTAATAGTAGTAGAAATTTTGGAATATCAGGAAGGAAGAACATGATAATCAAAAAATAGACAAAACAAAAAAAGACTTTTCCTCCTAAGTCTTCTAAAGTACAGATACTCCTTGACTTATGATGGGGTTACATCTTGATAAACCCATTGTAAGTTGAAAATATTGCAAGTCCGAAACGTATTTAATATCTAAAAAAACCTATCATAAAGCCAAAAAATCATAATTCAAAAGACTGTAAATCCATATGCTCCTCAACTTATTATGGGGTTACATTCTGATAAACCCATGGTAAAGTAGAAAAACCATAAGTCACATCATAAGTCAAGCCGCATCTATATAGCAGTTCTTCCTTAACTAAGGTCTCATTTTCTGTGGTTTCAGTTACCTTTGGTCAACCACACTATGAAAATATTACATGAAAAAAATTCAGAAATAGACAATTCATACATTTTAAATTTTGTCATTCTTAGTAGTGCAATGAAGTCTCCCATCATCTAGCTCCATCCTGCCAGAACATGAGTCATTCCTTTGTCCAGCGTACCCATATTGTACATGCTACCTGCCCTGTATGATGTGATTGTATAGAAAAGAAAAATATAGCATATATAGGGTTCAGTACTATCCATGGTTTAAGGCATCCCCTGGTACTATCCCTGGTATCCTCTTATCAAAGATATCCTCCTTTGATAAGAGGAAACTACTGTGTGTTGGATTGTTGAAGCAAAAATTATAGCATTGTCCGATGTGGTTCTAAATTTATATAGAGAGGAAATGATTAAGACAATTATACTATAAACCAGAGGATAAATGGCCATTAGAAGATATTTTACTCAACTGGTAAAATAATGACATCAGTAGACTATGATAAGTTATGTATGTATAACACAATACTTAGAACGATCACTGAAAAGTGGTTATTTTTCATTATTTTTGACATAAAGAATCAAAATACACAGCAGCTTCCTTCAATTTTACATCTTTATTTCTATATGAATGTCATCTACAGCCATTAAATCGTACAATGCATAAAGTCTGATTTTAACCAACTGATGAAGAAAATTCAATTCAAGCAAAGAAATGACAAATTCCCATATCAATTTGAATTGTTAAAATGATATAACAGCAATTATTTGCATAACTGTTCATTTGTTTTATGATGTTTCCAATCCCATCTTTAAAAGAGTTCTAACTCTGATCATTTATGAAACCAGCAAAAATTACAGGGTACAATCTTGATTCTACCTCACCTGAAAAAATGTTGATATGGTATATTTTAATATCCAAACAATATTTATATCAATATTAACAAAGATATTGTAATCACATGAATAGAAAGTAATGTTCATTATTATTTGCAGAAAAAATGCTACAATTGCTTCCAATTAAAATATATCAAAATAACAGTCTCTCTTGGCAAATAAACCAATTCTAGATGCTAGTTTATAGTTCATGAAGAAACAATTATGTTTAATGAAACTGAACCTCATTTTTCATCATAGGACCAGAAACTGATGAGTCAGTCATGACTTCACTGGACTTTATGAATCATAATAAAGCAAACCAAGATTAAAGGATGGTTGTTTATTTTTCTGTCAGTATCTCCCAAGATGTCCTGAGTAGAAACTTGGAACTGAACAGTTCTATAGCTGTACTTGAAAAATCCCTTTGTCAGAATATATCAGTTAGGAATTCAAATTGGTGCATTAATGGGATATTACACTCAGAATGTTTAAACAACACTTTACTAAAAAATAACAGTCTGGAGATAGAATTCTGAAAGCACTATTTAATTATCTATGCTTTTTTTTCTGCTCTGCTAGACTTAGCAGAGATTGACTTGTCTGCTGTTTGTTACCTTGCAGGTGCACAATGGCTACTGAATATGCAGGCATTATTTTCACCATAAAAACAATAAGGATTTGAAGGAAGCTATCTACCATGCCTGTATCTTTTTCAGGAGTGCAAAATTTCTCAAAGAAAATCCTTGTCCCTAAACATCATGAAACATTCCCCTGGACATAATGATTGACGTGGCTGATGGTTTGGAAAGGGAGCTTAAAAAATTGACTATATGCCAAACAGAGCAAAACCATGACTGAAATACTAAATACATGTTAAATGTCCTAATTGAAGAAACAATGCAATCCCTATAATTTTGAGACACTTTAGCCAAAATATCTAAAGAGGTGGAAACAGTTTTTCTTCTTCCCTTCTTTCATTTTGTTCTCAATAAACATTTAATGAAAGCATTTTACACAATAGAATGGATACTTAATATATTAATTTGAAGTCATTAAAATTATTGTAAAGTTAATATGTTCCCTTCCTAAAGCTTGCATAGTCTGTTTTCACACTGCTATAAAGAACTACCAGAGACTCAGTAATTTATGAAGAAAATATGAAGAAAAGAGGTTTAATTGGACAGGCTGTTAAGGCAGCATGACTGGGAGGACTCAGGAAACTTATAATCATGGTAAAGTTGAAGGGGAAGCAAGCATGTCTTACCACAGTGGAGCAGGAGAGAGAGAGAGAAAAGGGGGAGGGGCCAAACACTTTTAAATGATAATATCTCATGAGATCAACAAGGTGGAAATCTGTCCCCATGATCCAATCACCTCCCACTAGACCCCTCCTCTGACATATGGAGATTACAAGTCTATATGAGGCTTGGGTGGGGACACGGAGCCAAACCATTATCAGCTGGTGCACTGTCATAAAGACATCATATAAAGAGCTCAGAATGGGAATAATTAGGCTTCTATTAGCCATCAGTTTCAGGGGACAAACACTGATGTTTAAGATGCTCTAAGGTAAAAGCTGCTCCAAATGTGGGAAGCCCAATAAGAAGAGTCCTCCACGTAAGTTTACCTATAGTTCACCCAAACACATGAGCATTTAACTATGAAGCAATTTGTACTTGAATATGAACAAGAGTTTTTTCATATCTATATGTATTATTTTACAGATAACTACACACACATATTATCAATAGCTATATCTGTCTAGACCTAGATATAGATATATCTGCATGTGTATGTAATTATTTGAAAAATAATTGAATGCAATCTATGGCATCTTCTACCTTCAAGGGAGTGACAACACTTAGATAGATTATATTATTTAGGAAAACACCCTGATGGAACTTTTCAGTGAAGAGAAATGATGCCTTCTGGACATATCCTAAATGAATGGAATAAGGAAGAGAGATCTGAATTATTTTGTACAATAAAAAAGAGAATAATCATTCATGTTCTTGCAAAACTATGAGCGTCCAGGCAGCTAGCAAGAGAGAATAGATTTGCAAAAATTTTAGAAAGATAAGGGACCTATGAAAATAGCAATTGATCAAGATCTAAGAAAAGAGTGGAGTCAGTGAGCACCTGTGTAAGGAGAGGGGGGCGGGGATATTGGTATCCAATAGTAATTATTACGTTGCATTTTGGCTTGCTTGGGGTTTTGTTTTCTTTTGTTTTGTTGATGCTATGCTTGCATGTAAATAGTCATTCACCTCTAGATAATCAATAAAGGTCATCCAACTATAATTACTTTGTTAATAGTATTATGAAGAGTTTAAAGATAGTATAGGACAAGGAAGTGGAACCTTTTATACTTCAACCTTACACTAAGGTCTTTGTAGCATTGCCACCATTGTCCTTCAGGGGACAATTATTTTAACATTTCTGGTGGGGACAACAGTACAGTTGGGGGTCCAAGGCAGAGGTGAGGGCTTCTTGAAGGAGTCAAGAAGCCTGGCAAATGCAATGTACATTGACTCTAGTGTGGCCTAAAGAGAAGCCTTATGGCTCCAACTATATTCATGGCAGGTGACATTTGAACAAGGAAGGCTGGAATGAAGAGAGAGGTTAGGTACGTGGTGGATTACCCAGAGGTCAGTCTTTTTTCATTAGCCTTCTGCAATGCTTCCAGTCACAGCTTAAACTAGTGGTTGGCCTGTGGTTTCCTGGTACACGCCTTTCAGTGCACTGTTTTTTCTCAGCCCTTTTTCTTGCTGGATGCTACAATTACATTTGACTTTACGTCTCCCTCAAATCAGCATAAAGTAAATAGATATTTCTACTTCATTTGTCCCTAGATCCATATTTAAATTATGTAAGTAATGGTATACAGGTGATTACGAATTTAAAAGTTCTGAGATGTCTGGTCATGGTATAGGCTAAGAGAAGCCTTAAAAAAATCTAATCTCAGGTGGGAAGTTTTTAATAATGCTTCTTTTGTCCCTTATACCTCTTACTATAACTGTGAGCTGGAGAAATAGCTCACTTTCTTGCCTGTAACGGAAGCATTAATAACCAGCAGACAAGAATTAAAAAATGAATGGTTTATGTCTTCCCAAGTAGATTATCAATCCTCTGAACAACTGAATTTACATGAAAGTAAGCAGTGATTTTCTACTTTTCTTCAGTAGGCTGACACATAAAAAATAATTTGATTACTGACCTGTGCAGACAATTCATGAATACTAATTGAAAACTCATTTGGTGTTTCCTGAAAAATTAAAGAAAAACAACAGATATGTTTTCTTCCTCCAAAATGGCCTGATGTAGAAGTGCAACATTTCCTCAAAACTACAGTCATCCACCTACTTGCAAAGTAACAATTTTTTCTGCTTGGAATATTTTCTGATGATGCAACAGATTCTATGTAATTCACAAGAAATAAATCAGAAATGCTTCAAAAATGCTGATGTGCAAAAAGAATGTTCTTAAGATATTTCTTGAAGAAAAATGTAGAAACCAATCAGCTGTCTGCAGAAGGCTTGTTTATTATATAAAGAAACTATGCCAAAAACAATACAAAATCCTAGCTTGAAAGAATTTTTCTTATGTATTTGTTTTCATAAAACATTTTACTCCCTTTACTGTCACAAACACACTCTGTAATATAATCTTCTTTCTTCACTTTAATTACATAAACACAGCTTGGGAAAAATACAGTAGACTTTACATGCCAATGAGTTCAAATTGAGCAGAAAATTTGATTTTACTTAATTGCTCTGTTTTTTATTACACTGCTTACCAGCGCTAGGATCACTATGTTTTGCTAATGTATGTGTGTGTGTGTGTGTGTGTGTGTGTGTGTGTGTGTGTGTATTTGCATCTATAGTAAGCACTCTTCCTCCAAAGAAAATATTTTTCTGGTTGATCAGCAAAATCAATCCTATTCCTGTATTTAAGTCTACAGAATTCTATGAAGTAGAAAAGTTGAATATTCACCTGGAATATCTGACCAGCCCACATATTCTACGTGACTAAATCTGTTGTCAATGTCTAGCCTTATTTCTATATTAATATAGTTAACAAATCTCTTGGCTAGCTCCCTATTTCATTTTTGAGCCATAGATTTGTCACACTCCAGAACTGACTGCAGCCCCATTGGAAAGAGAAGGCAAAGTCTCCAGACCACATAAGGAGTCACAGTCTTTCTGTTTGCTCACTGTTTAACCTAAACATTTTGTTGCTTCACAAAATTTTACTGGTTACTTATTTTTCTCCAACACTTTCTTGACATCTAATTTCCGAGTCTACCAAAACTTTTCCCAAGAATGGGTTTGCTCCTAAGCCTGACCCCAGACGATCAGTTTTGCCTTGTCTTTTCATTTTCTGGGCAACAATCCTATCGTCACAGTCCCCATGACCTATAGTTTCTCCATGACCCTTACTCTTTTACTCAGTGGCAGTCTGCCTCAATTAGCATAATATATCTGACTCAATAACTTCTACATCTAGCCTGCCTCTGTCTGTTTGAGATCCAGAATTGTATATCCAATGCCATCTGGAGACTTTTGCCTGGGTTTCTATTAGGCATCTCAAACTTGACACTGCAGTCCTGGCTAACACGGTGAAACCCCGTCTCTACTAAAAATACAAAAAATTAGCTGGGCGTGGTGGCACGCACCTGTAGTTCTAGCTAATAGGGAGGTTGAGGCAGGAGAATCGCTTGAACTCAGGAGGCGGAGGTTGCAGTGAGCCGAGATCATGCCACTGCACTCCAGCCTGGGCGACAGAGCGAGATCCATCTCAAAAAAACAAAACAAAACAAAACAAAAAACTTGACACTGGCCAAAACAAAATTCCACTCCTGATTTCACCTTCTTCACCTAATTTTCCTCTCTAGTCTTTACCATCTTCTTGCCTATTCTGTTGCTGAAGGAAAGAAAAATAAAAATCAACAAATACAATTTTAAAAACTAAGAAGTCACTCCATTTTTTTTTTTTTTTTCAGTCTCTGTGTAAAATTCCTCAGCAAGTTCTGGCAGCTCAAATTCCAAAGTATACTCTGCATCCTTCCTCCTTTCTATGATTTGTATACTTGACCCCTCCAAACCTCATGTTGAAATATGATCCCCCTTGTTGAATGTATGACATAATGTGAGGTGTTTGGCTCATGGGGAAGGATCCCTCATAAATGCTTAGTGCCATCCTCAAGGTAATGGGTAAATTCTGGCTCCCACCAGAGCTGGTTGTTAAAAAGAGCCTGGCACCTCCCTTCCATCTCTGTCTTGCTTCCCCTCTAGCCATGTGACCTCACACACAGGCTCACTTTCCCTTTCCACCATTAGTGGAAGCATCTGGTCGCCCTCACAAGAAACAGATGCTGGTCCTCTGCTTCTTGTGCAGTCTGCAGAACAGTGAGCCAAATAAACCTCTGTTCTTATTAAACTGCTTAAACTCAAGTATCCCATTATAGCAATGTGAGTGGACTAAAACACATCTATTTTCATCACTGATGCTTTTCACCGTAATACAAGACAAAACCACATATGAGCACATGAATATCATGTCAATTAATCTTCTTCCTTCTTTTCTGATTTCTCTTTAATTTATTCTCTGCATTATACCCAAGATGGCCTCATGGTTTTGGTGCAAATGAAACTGTACCCTCTCCCAAAGGGAAAACCTCAAATGAGACCTAAATTCACATTAGTTTGAACAATAGTCTTGTTATGAGGTAACTTGTGCCTGCTGTTGTGCCATCTTTTCTTGCTACAATCCACTCTCACTACATTCTCTTTCTCATTCCTTAAACATAAATTCTTAACCACTCAGATAGGCTTTCTTCATCTTCCATCTACAGCATATACCTCTTCACTCAAATATCTCTATGTATAATATAACACTTATTAATACCAAATTTTCCTGTTTATTACTCCTTCTTTACTATAATCCAAATATATACTCCATGAAACAAGGAGTTAAGACTCTTTGTTCACTGCTTCATTCCCAGTGTTTCTATTAGTCTCAGATAATAGTAACTATTCAACAACAGTATTAATGAAACATGAAGATTGAATTCCCATTCCATACTTTAATTTGAACTTGTGATAGTCTAGAACAAACACCTGGTGCTTCAAACCTATACATTTTTGTCTTGACAGTAATCACTTATCGATCCATCAATATCAATGTTTTTCAAATTTGGCTTTACGTTAATATAATCTAGGAATTTCCACAAACACAGATGGCAAGTCTCTACTCCTAAGATCCTTGTTTAATTGGTTTGGAGTATGGTTGAAAACCTCAGATATAGACACATTTACCTTTCCGTTTATAAAGTGTTTCAATTGCCTAATAACATATTTATTGGTTAGTGCTTCAAATGTCTCAAGCATACGGGTTACAAAAAATTGTACAACCTGGCTCCAACGCAGCTACCTTTGTTCTATGTAGGTATTTTAGGTCTGTATATACAACTTTTTTGGTCAAGCATATATTTAGATATTATAAATTACTAGCTTAAGACAATACTTCCTAGTTGGCACTAAAAATAGTATATCACAACTTAACTGGTTATACTTGCTAGCTGAAACTGTGATTCACAATGGAATGTTTTCTTTACAGAAAATCAATATAATTGAACTCATTTTATTTTTTCTATTGGTCCAACAAAAGCGCACTTAACAAATTTAACAGAAGTAGGAAATCTTAATTCTTCCATAACTTCTAAGAAAATTAAATCCTTAATAAAAACAAGCAAATCAAACAAACTAAATAATAAAATTATCCACATAGAGAACTCCAAAGTAGGTGATTTCACAAGACAGTTTTATCAACCATTTATGAATGAATTAATATTAATCTTAGGTAAACACTTCCAGAGAATAGACAGGAAATAGTTGACAACTTGTCTTATAGCTTCTTCATCATGGTTACAAAATTGTACAAAGATGTTGTGGAAAAAATAATTACAGCTATTGTTACTCAAAAGAATACATGAAAAATCCCATATAAAATATAAATCAAGGCTGACAAAGTCCTAGGATTCTACTGTTGTACCAAAAAGTTAAAACACCAACATAAATCTTTTTGTTCCTCTGCCTTTCTCAAAACATACTGGTTTTTCATGGGTAAATCCAGATATAAGTGATGCAAGAAGACTTAGATGTTTGGGTCAGGCACTGTACTGATCCATGTCAAAGTTAAAGCTACAGAACCAATGCTGACGAGGAGAAAACTCTACTAACTGAATGTAGGAGGGCAGAAATTGTAACCAATGCACCTGTGGCAACATTAGATAACAGAAGTTATCCAAGCCAAATTTTAAATACATTTCAGGCTGTGTCTAAGATCATGAAGTAGAAAACTAGATATAAGCTGATAATGCAGGTAATACAGGAAATGGAGGGGCAGCAAGAGTGTAGATCCACAAAAACCCAGGCAAAATTCTAACTTATGTGGTACTTGAAAAGGATTAATGTTAGTGTCTAGAAGATTATAGACAGTAAACTCAAGGTTCAGAGACCGAACTGATCAACTTCATTCTTAGTCCTTGAAACCTTCTCTGTTTCACAGTCAGTGACTATAATGTTAACCCATTATTCATAATTAGATACAACTACTGCTGGGTGAGAAAAACAGAGTGTGGCACAGTTAAACTACCCTCAATTCCTAAATAAATAATTCAAAACAGTTCCCTTATTAAGCTTAGGTCTAGAAAAAATTAAATGAAATATTATTATGCAACCTCAAAATGAAAGAGAAATTATAATTTGCATTTTTACTTTTGTAATTTGTATAATTATTTTTTTCCAAATTGACAACTCCAATACAGATGTAAAGTTGAGGAAATATATATCCATAAGCATAACATTATACAGTTGACCCCTGAACAACATAGGAATTAATGGCACCAACCCCCAGTGCAGTAAAATAGCTACAAATAACTTTTGATTTCCCCAAAACTGAATTATTAATAGTCTATTGGTGACCAGAAGACTTACCCACAACATAGTCGATTAACATAATTTTGTGCATTTTATTATATATATATATAAAATACTTCATTCTTACATTAAAGTAAGCTAGAGAAAAGAAAATGTTATTAAGAAAATTATAAGGAAGATAAAATATATTTACTATCCATTTCATGGAAATAGATCATTACAATCGTCTTATTCTTCACTGTCTTAACATTGAGGAGAAGGAAGAGGAGGGGTTGAATTTGTCATCTCAGGGGTGGCAGAGGCAGAAGAAAATCTGTGTGTAAGTGGACCTGTGCAATTCAAACCTATGTTGTTCAAGGGCCAATTATATCACATACATAAAATTATAATATGTATAACATTGATGAGTTATTATGCTGATATTGCTGCTGGATTACATAGTTTGAGTGACCTTAGTAAACTGACTTTTAAATTATCTTAAGTACAAAACCCTGAAAATCTGTTAGTGAGCATTTTTCATTTCTTCTAGGTTTGGTATACATTTTTTGCATTCAAAGTTATTTTAACAGAAAATTTATTTATCTACCTGATATACTGATAGTGGCTATATAGGGACTTGTTAATCATAAAAATAAATGCTATGGGGAGACACTACATATTCTAATTTTTTATCATCTGTGTTTCACTGTTGGTTTCTTGCTTATTTATTTAATAGCAATTGTTGATATTTCTCCCTCAAACAATAAAATCATGTCTCCAATCAATGACCTGAAAAAATTATATTTTATAAAAGAAATTAATTTCCTAGTTATAGAAATGCAAAAAAGGCATGCTGCATTCCCATATTCACTTTTATTATGTCCTGTCACTTAGAAATAGCTGAACAAATTCAAACTAAATTTGAATTAAAAATAAAGCACTCCCAAGCCTAATCCCCATGTGTTAAGTTTCTGCTTCAGAGTATGTTTTATAGCTGACTTATAAACTCTGAAGGAAATTTATAATGGAACCTGGGACAACCTCATTTTGTAATTGGGAGTTGTGGTCACCAGAAATGAGAGAATATATTGTGCTTAGATGTCAACCTCTTTACTTTTCTAAAATGGTGGGTTTGAAGTTCAAAAATCAATATCCATATTTTTTGTTTCACACACCACTTAGTCATAACACAATATCTTTCTCTGTGGGAAAGATTCTAGTTTAGTAATAAAAAGTATGTGGGCAGAAATTGTTAAGCAATTTATAGCTGTTCCTAAAAATAAATTGAATGCTATTACCTATAAAGTACATAGAAAAGAGTAAGAGAAAGTAAAAAACCAATAGATTTGAGAATTATACAAATTCAAACACTTAAGAAATAAAAACTCCAAGGTTCTATATCTTTAAATAGTGCCAAATTATCAGGTAGAAGCATTTTGGTCAAATTCTGAAATCATATGTAACAAATTATATTAGTACTTGTATTTATAAGAAATTATTTTTTCCTTGAAAAACACAAAACTCTTATTCTATTGGCTTGGCAGGATTAATGTAGCTTTAACATTAGAAGATACAAATATTATAACATCTGTAATGTTCATTTCATTCATAAAAGTATTATTGACTACTTGCCAAAAGACAGGCATCATTTTAAGATTTGGTTTATGAATGAATCTAGGTTGCATATTTTAATCTAAGTGATTTCTCTTATATTATAATATGACCAAATAATTACCTTATTTCTGATATAGTGCTCAACTTCTTCTTAAAGGCCATTTTATATCTTCCTAGGATTCAGTTTGCTATTGGCATAGCTTTTACCTTGACCTTTCTTATTTTCTGTAATTCAGTAGACTGCAACACCTTTCTCCCCTTCCTAACGCTAATACTGGGAAATAAATAAAAAACTCTTCCCAGTATTTCACAAAACAATATTTCATAAAAATGAATTTCTAAATCCCCAAGCAATCAAAATTAATGATGTCTGACATTCGTGATTGAAATTATGTCTAACAGGATAATAGTTGTTACATGTTCTCATTAGAGTTGCCATCTAATGTAATCAGATTTAAAATATGTCTTTAACTCGACCAGGCCATTGATTTTGCACTGGACAATGACGTTTTTTTGACATTAAATGTTACTTCATAAGTCACTTGAGCATTTGGTTGTGTACTGAAATAGGCTTCAATAGTATTGTGAAATGAATCCTTAACACAGAAGAGGAAAGCAGAAAAAAGAACTATTTGTTTAAATCCCTTTTGGCTTCTGCTATCATAAAACTGAAATAGTCCACATGAATTAGTTTTTCAAATGCCCTACATATATTTATCTAATTTTTCCTCATTGGAGGGAGAGAATAGCGCTCGAAACTGTATTTCATGAAAATAGCCTTTAAAAAAAAAAGTGATTCACAAAGTGGATTATCTAAAGTTCATATTATGTGTCTCTCTAATACAGATTTACACATGTTTTATAAAAATATTTTCCTTAGCGAAATTTTAATATAATGGTAAGCCCTGACTGGAGCCCTCTATCAATGCACCTTAAATGACATAAATATTTCAGTCACTTCAGTCTTTGATGAAACCTGTGAAACAAAGACATTGATACCACTAACATTTTGAAAACAGTTGGATGTGGTAGAAACATTTTATTCCTATAATATATTTTATCCTCAAAAATGAAAACTGTTAATAAAACTTTATAGATGAAAGCTAACATTAGGGTGCTTCATTATTTGGACAATTCTGATAATTCCCATTTTATTGTTTCATATTCTAATTAGCATTTTTAAAATGTTAATAGGGCACTTTTTTAAATATTTAACTGCCTATAATAAATTTTGCTTTGAGTGCAGATATTACATTTTTGCATTTTATAAGTATGCTTAAAAATTTATAGTATCCAGCTATTTTTTGTCCTTTTGTTTAAATTAATTGAACTATTTAACAAATATTTATTGATCACTGGTTTGTACAAGGTACCATGAACATAATATACATGGCTTGTGCCTCATGAAATTTGCATTCTAATGGTAGAGAGGGACATCAATTAGAAGACACATATAAACATAGCAGTGAATAATTTGTTGTAGAAGAGTGCTCTGACACGTACAATATGGAAACATGATGTCATACATGGAAATGACTTAAACTTGAGACCTGAAGGATGCACTAACTAGAGGAAATTAGAGGAGAATATCATAGGTAAAGTGTAGTGGCATTTGCAAGGTTGCGGAAGCTAAAGGAAGCATAAAACTGTTTGGAAATTTTAAAAGGTCATAGGCATTGTAAGATCTGTTTTTCTTGTCTTAAGAGCAATTTAAAGTCATCAGATATGATACAGTCATGGAGAAAAGATTAATACTGAGTTGCGTGGCTTTTCTTATATCAGGTAAATAAACCCCTTAAATGAATTCCCAGGCTATTAGCTAATTAATAGAAGTCTCTGGGCATAACAATGAGGAAGGAATTCTGGATAATTACTCATAATAAAGATGAGACTCAAAAAGCTGGAAATATGCAGTAAAATCTTCTTGAACTTCAGCTACAGCAAATTAATCTCACATACAGAGAACATGTTGTGCCTTCTCTATGGAGAATCTTGTCCCATTGGGAGTATCCTCCCTGGTCTTTGCTGACATCATAGGAATTAGCTTATGTCATAGCTATCTCTTCTTTGATTTGCAGATAACTCAAAGACTGCTATGAGAATAGATCTTACTTTCCTTACCCTCCCTAAGATGTACTGGTTCCTGCTAAAAGAGGGAGATTGTGATGCCCTCTTCAAGTCTTTAATCCATGTTGAATTAATTTTTGTATAAGGTGTAAGGAAGGGATCCAGTTTCAGCTTTCTACATATGGCTAGCCACTTTCCACCCCACTATTTATTAAATAGGGAATCCTTTCCCCGTTTCTTGTTTTTGTCAGGTTTGTCAGATTGTTGTAGATGTGTGGTATGATTTCTGAGGGCTTTGTTCTGTTCCATTGGTCTGTATCTCTGTTTTGGTACCAGTAACATGCTGTTTTGGTTACTGTAGCCTTGTAGTATAGTTTGAAGTCGGGTAGTGTGATGCTTCCACCTTTGTTCTTTTGCTTAGGATTGACTTGGCAATGCGGGCTCTCTTTTGGTTCCATATGAACTTTAAAGTAGTTTTTTTCCAATTCTGTGAAGAAAGTCATTGGCAGTTTGATGGGGATGGCATTGAATCTATAAATTACCTTGGGCAGTATGGCCATTTTCACGATATTGATTCTTCCTATCCACGAGCATGGAAAGTTCTTCCATTTGTTTGTGTCCTCTTTTATTTCGTTGAGCAGTTGTTTGTAGTTCTCCTTGAAGAGGTCCTTCACATCCCTTGTAAGTTGGATTCCTAGGTATTCTATTCTCTTTGAAGCATTTGGAAAACACTCTGCAGGATATTATCCAGGAGAACTTCCCCAACCTAGCAAGGTAGGGGAACATTCAAATTCAGGAAATACAGAGAACACCACAAAGATACTCCTCCAGAAGAGCAACTCCAAGACACATAATTGTCAGATTCACCAAAGTTGAAATGAAGGAAAAAATGTTAAGGGCAGCCAGAGAGGAAGGTCAGGTTACCCACAAAGGGAAGCCCATCAAACTAACAATGGATCTCTCGCAGAAACTCTACAAGCCAGAAGAGAATGGGGGCCAATATTCGACATTCTTAAAGAAAAGAATTTTCAGACAGAATTTCATATCCAGCCAAACTAAGCTTCATAAGTGAAGGAGAAATAAAATCCTTTACAGACAAGCAATTCTGAGAGATTTTGTCACCACCAGGCCTCCCCTACAAGAGCTCCTGAAGGAAGCACTAAACATAGAAAGGAACAACCGGTACCAGCCACTACAAAAACATGAAGGAGATACAGACACAAAAAGACCCTTCAAAAAAATCAGTGAATCCAGGAGCTGGTTTTTTGAAAAGATCAACAAAATTGATAGACTGCTAGCAAGACTAATAAAGAAGAAAAGAAAGAATCAAACAGACACAATGAAAAATGATAAAGGGGATATCACCACTGATCCCACAAAAATACAAACTACCATCAGAGAATACTATAAACAGCTCTATGCAAATAAACTAGAAAATCTAGAAGAAATGGATAAATTCCTCGACACATACACCCTCCCAAGACTAAGCCAGGAAGAAGTTGAATCCCTGAATAGACCAATAACAGGCCCTGAAATTGAGAGAATAATTAGTAGCCTACCATCCAAAAAAAGTCCAGGACCAGACGGATTCACAGCTGAATTCTACCAGAGGTACAGGGAGGAGCTGGTACCATTCCTTCTGAAATTATTCCAATCAATAGAAAGAGAAGGAATCCTCCCTAACTCATTTTATGAGGCCAGCATCATCCTGATGCCAAAGCCTGGCAGAGACACAACAAAAAAAGGGAATTTTAGACCAATATCCCTGATGAACATCGATGCAAAAATCCTCAATAAAATACTAGCAAACTGAATCCAGCAGCACATCAAAAAGCTTATCCACCATGATCAAGTGGGCTTCATCCCTGGGATGCAAGGCTGGTTCAACATACGCAAATCAATAAACGCAATCCAGCATATAAACAGAACCACAGACAAAAATGATGTGATTGTCTCAATAGATGCAGAAAAGGCCTTTGACAAAATTCAACAGCCCTTCATGCTAAAAACTCTCAATAAATTAGGTACTGATGTGACATATCTCAAAATAATAAGAGCTATCTATGACAAACCCACAGCCAATATCATACTGAATGGGCAAAAACTGGAAGCATTCCCTTTGAAAACTGGCACAAGACAGGGATGTCCTCTCTCACCACTCCTATTCAACATAGTATTGGAAGTTCTGGCCAGGACAATCAGGCAGGAGAAAGAAATAAAGGGTATTCAATTAGGAAAAGAGGAAGTCAAATTGTCCCTGTTTGCAGATGACATGATTGTATATTTAGAAAACCCCATCGTCTCAGCCCAAAATTTCAAGCTGATAAGCAACTTCAGCAAAGTCTCAGGATACAAAATCAATGTGCAAAAATCACAAGCATTCTTATACACCAATAATAGACAGAGAGCCAAATCATGAGTCATCTGACATTCTGACTGTATCTGGTGTGCTTATGCCACCCATTTTATAAGAGTGCTGCAGAAGAGACTGCTTGAAGTTCAGATAGTGCCTAAGATTCATCTTTGATGAAAATCTGAGTCAAGAGAAATGGTTACTCCTGTGGAAACTGATTAATGAGGAACACCTGAAACCCCAGAACACCACACATGATCAGATTTGCACCTTTTTTTTCATGCTTGAAAAATTTTTATTGATTAGTATGTCATTCTTCACAACAGACATTATAACCACATATTTATATAATTTTTCTTTCTTGTGACTCTAAAGATTGAGGTGTTAAAAATGTTTCTGGGCAGAGTTATCCTTATAATTTTTAGTAGTATACAAGTGATCAAACAGTAACTGTATTACAAACTAATAAGTATGATTAAGGGAAAAAATAAAAGTGTACACACGGATTATATGGAAGGGACTTTTTCTTCAAAAATGTAATCCATCCCATAAACAGAACCAGTGACAAAAACCATATGATTATCTCAATAGATGCAGAAAAGGACTTCAATAAAATTCAACACCGCTTCATGCTAAAAACTTTCAATAAACTAGGTATTGATGGAACATATACCAAAATAATAAGAGCTATTTACAACAAACCCATAGCCCATATGATACTGAATGGGCAAAAGCTGAAAGCATTCCCTTTGAAAACCGGCATAAGACAAAGATGCCCTCTCTCACCACTCCTATTCAACACAGCATTGGAAGTTCTGGCCAGGACAATCAGTCAAGAGAAATAAATAAAGGATATTCAAATAGGAAGAGAGAAAGTCAAATTGTCTCTGTTTGTAGATGACATGATTGTATATTTAGAAAACCCCATCATCTCAGCCCCAAAATTCCTTAAGCTGATAAGCAACTTCAGCTAAGTCTCAGGATACAAAATCAATGAGCAAAAATCACAAGCATTCCTCTACACCAATGACAGACAAGCAGAGAGCCAAATCATGAGTGAACTCTCATTCATAATTGCTACAAAGAGAATAAAATACCTAGGAATACAACTTACAAGGGATGTGAAAGACCTCTTCAAGGAGAGTTGCATCTTTAAAAGATGGTTCAGACAGTAGAAAGTGAAAAAAATTGGAAGGCAGCATGAGTATATAGGCAGAGAGAATACTTTGAAGACGTAATAGTTGTCTGACAGCTTTGATTAGAGGAGGAGAGTGGTGGGCAGGGAAAGCACGTGTTTTATTTTGGATATTTTTAGTTTGAAGTGGACTTAAGCATCTAGTTGACAATGGCAAATACACAGTTGCTTGTATGAAATTCAGAGGACATTTTTGGATCAAAAATGAAGTTACAGGTCATTAGTAACCAAATGACCTCATCTTTTCAATATAACGGGTTTATTCTCAATATAAGTGTCACAATAAGCAATTTTCCATTTTATATGAGAAACCATTAGCATAAAAACATACACACAGAAACACACAAACTTAAAAGGGCTCAGACACTATAACTGATGTCTAAACCCCACTGAAATAGGCCTCCATTTGCCTTTGGTTGTGTGAAGAAAAAGTGTTTGTTTTCATAATGTCAATAAATAATTCTGGTAAGAAATTGAACCATACAGAAAATAATTGTGACTTTTAATTTGGAAATACTAAACATATTTGGTTCACTATTTAAGGCAAAGAGAGTGTGGGAAATCCAGGCTTATTTGCATTTTTTTAAAAAAAAAAAACAGGCATTCATTCTACTTTTACCAAATGTTTGTCCATGTCACATTCAGTTAGTTGTTTGGAGAGTAATTTTTATACATATCAAACCAATGAGTTTAAAATACTCTGAAAATAATTTCTATGTAATTTTCTGTCCTCCATTATTCTTTCAGAATGAGTGACCTACTCCCCCAATGCTGATTTTAAATAACATGTAAAACAAATAAAAATAAAATCTGATATTTAATGTTACCACCTTGAATTTAGATGAAGTAATTTAGGATCACTGTAGTTGCATGGTATGCAGATCATTATCTTTCAAGGTCTTTAAAAATATGAGACTGTAGGAATAGGTGATTAGTTTCTCTTCTTCTTAATCTTTATGCTCTCTAAAAATTACTGTCTGAAATCTATGCCACAAAAGTCACCAAAGTCATTAGCTTCTCTGGACCAATCATTTGAGTGTCATGACACATGGATTTATTTGCAAATATGGTTAGAGGCTTCTAACATTAGCTTCTCTCAGAAAACATTATGGGAACATTAGCTGCCTGGACTAAAGTTTATTGCAGGTGAAGATTATCTAAATAATGAAATAAGTCACTGGTGTAATATTTGCATCCAACACAGAAAGCAGCTATTAACTGGAACACAAACTTTAACTCTTTCCTTTAAGCTAGGAAACTGCAATTCTTTAGAAGATGATGATAATTGATTATAAATGAAACTATTTATCAATTATTAAATAAAATAGATATTAAAACCCAACTTTGGAAAGACATGGCCAGATAACCACTGAATCTACTTAGGACAAAGTAACTTACCAAAAACATCGTGGAATGTATCAAATCTTATTTTTTTCTATATAAATAAATTACAACTTCAACTTATTTTGATCTTTACATCTGTATATCTGTCTTTTCACTACCACATTAAGCAAAATGACTGGCACATTTTTGGCAAAGGTGGAGAGCAGCTGGAATGGTTCCATTTTTCTGGTGCAGTTACTTTAAATGTGCCATACACCAAGGTGTCTGGCAACAGATGTGCATTTGGTCTTCCAGGGTGAAAAGCAAAAAGGATTCATTAATGTTTTACACAATCACTGCTGGATAGCCCAGCAGGAATGTATATAGTTCTGTCTCTAAAGTATTCTCTTATGCAATGTGGACTGGCATAAAGGGGCTTCTTTAAATGCATTCTTGAATCACACAGGTAAAGCTAAAGAAATATATCAAGAGAAGAGTGATAGGGAGAGCAAAGTAGAAAACTGAAAAGTAAATTTTGCAGAATATATATTCAGGACTGTCCGAAGCAGGGAAACTTGGCACCTGGGGATTTAACTCTTTTACTATTATTATTATTATTATTATACTTTAAGTTTTAGGGTACATGTGCACAATGTGACTTGAGTCTGGAAGATATCCTTCAAGACTGTCCACTTTCTTTTAATCTCACCTGCAATTATTATAACACTTTTATTTTACTAAAAAAAATTCTATTTTTTGGATCTAATTGAACCTACAATGTAACAACTCAGACATATATTTGGCTACTATATATTGAGTAACTACTATATACCAGGAATTGCATTGAGTACTTATCTCCAGGAATACAAAAGACAGGCCCTATCCTGAAGAAATTGCAATCTAGCAATTAAAATAGACAAAGAATAACTGTAATATACCTTAGGTAGATATGTACATAGTGGGACCAGGGATCATAGAAGACTCCGCGAGCCACTTAGAAAGGCTCGATAATTTCCTGAGGTTAATTTTGTAATTCAGCTACCCTTATATGTATGGGTACAGACATCTATATGAGAAACAAATAGTCTTTGATAGCAAAATGATTTGTTCCTGGACCAGATGCCATTAATTATTCACACTTAGACACTGATCCTGATTTACTATGAAGGGTGTGAAATTGAAGGTCTTGTTCTTTTCTTTGTTGCCTATTGCTGCTAACAAATTAACCTCAAACATAGCCACTTATAACAACAAATATCTATTACCCCACAGGTTTTCAGGGTCAGGATTCTGGGAATGGCTCAGGTAGGTGATTCTTGGTCAGAATCTTTCATGAGGTTGTATTCAAGTTAATAGCTTGGATAGAGGTCTTCTAGGACTGGAATATATGCTTCTAAAATCACTCATGCAGCTATCGGAAGGAAATTTTTATTACTTTCCACATGGGCCTCTTCATAGGCTAGTCATTACATGGTAGTTCACAGCCCTCACGGTGAGCTATCCAAGGGGGAAACCAGGTAACTTGCTCAAGAAGGAAGCCACAATGCTCTACTAACCTAATCTCAGAAGTGGCATGCCACCACTTCTACTGTATCCTTTTGGTCACACAGATCCAACCTGGTACAATGTGAAGATGAGGTGATACAAAGCTGTGAATATTGGGAGGTATGGAATATTGGGCACCATCTTGAAAGCTGATTAACCTATGAGTTGAATTAGATCTTTTTAATATTGCAAAGCTTAAAAGTCCAATTTAAATATTCTGTAATATGAGGATATATAAAAGGTATTTTTCTAATTTTTAAAGTAAAAAAGACTTTGAATATGATCTAGTTATCATCAGATTCAGAGGGAAAATAAGAATAAAATAGGGGGGCAGAGTAAGATGCTGAATAAAAGCCTACACTGTTTATCGCCCTGGCTGGAACACCAAATTTTAACAACTTTCTATACACAGAAAAGCATTCCACAGGAACCCAATATCAGGTGAGCAATTACAGTATCCAGTTTTAACTTTATATCATGAAAAGAGTCATTGAGGAAGTCTGGAGAGGCAACCTTGAATCACCGATGCCACCCCTCCCACTGATGCTCCCTTTATTCTGAGCAAAGAATAAAGAGGACTTTGTCTTGCATCTTGAATACTAGCTCAGGCACAGTAGACT
Organism: Homo sapiens; assembly: GCF_000001405.40. NCBI lineage: Eukaryota > Metazoa > Chordata > Mammalia > Primates > Hominidae > Homo > Homo sapiens. The sequence continues at coordinate 57,061,896 of NC_000002.12, read as the reverse complement.
AGAGTACCAGGCATTGTTGTTAAGGACCCCATTCCAGGCCCTAGCTCCCTGACAACATTTCTTAGACATATTCTTGTTCAAAAGGGCCTTTAAGGGAAGGACCCAGTCATGGCAAGATTCATCACCTGCTGAATAAAGAACCCTTGGGCCCTGAATGACCATGAGCAATACCCAGGGACTATACCGTGGACCTTGGGCTCTGAGACATGCTGGCGTCAGGGGAGACCCCGCACATTCTCAGCTGTGATGGCTATGAAGAAAAACTTCTTTTGTTTGAAAAAAATCAGAGGAAAAAATAAAGGAAATTTTGTCTTGCACCCTAAGCTCCAGCTCAGCCACAGTGTGGTAGACCAACAAGCAGGCTTCTAGGGTCCCTGATTCCAGGCCTAGGCTCTTGGACAGCATTTCTGGAACTGTCCTAGGCCAGAGGGGAGCCCACTGCCCTGAAAGTGAGTCCCAGGCCTGGTAGCAGTCACCAAAAGCTGATGGAAGATCCCTTGGGTTTTAAGTGAATATCAGTAGTGGCCTGGCAGAACCACCATGGACTGGTGGTGCTGGTATCCACAGGGAGAGGCTCCTGTGCCTGTGGAAAGGGGAGGGAAGAGTGAGAAGGAATTTGTGTTGTGGTCTGAGTGCCAGCTTAGCTGCAGTAGAAAAAACATCAGGTAAATTGGAAAGGTTTTGACTCTAATCCCTGGCTCCCAGACAGCATCTCTGGATATGTCAGGAGCCTGGGGGAACTTGTCACCCAGAAAGAATAGGCCATGGGCAAGGGCCAGTGCTGTGCTGGCTTCCAGTCTGATCCAGCACAGTCTAAGTGGTGGTGACCACAAGGGTGCTTGCATCACCACACTCCCAGTTCCCAGTGGCTCAGCAAAGACTGAGAGACTCTATATGTTTGGGAGAAAGTAAGGGAAAGGAACAAGAGTCTCTGCATGGTAATCCAGATAATGCTTCTGGATCTTATCCAAGACTACCAAGCCAGTACCTCTATGAGTCTGGAAAAAAACAACCAACCAACCAAAAACCATGTTATTGGGGCTTGGGGCCCAAGTCCCTTTGAATATCTGGAAAGCCTTCCCAAGAAGGACAAACAAAAACAAGCCCAGAATGTGACCAGTACAATAAATACCTAACTATTCAACACCCAGACACTGAAGAACAACTACAAGCATCAACACCATCCAGGAAAACATTACCAGTCAAATGAACTAAATAAGGTGCCAGGGACCAATTCTTGAGAAACAGATATTTTACCTTTCAGACAGAGAATACAAAATAGTTGTTTTGAGGAAACTCAAAGAAATTCAAGATAACACAGAAAAGGAATTCAGAATTCTATCAGATATTTTAATAAAGAGATTAAAATAATTAAAAACAATGAAGCGGAATTTCTAGAGTTGAAAAAATGCAGTTGACACACTGAGGAATGCACAGTCTCTTTATAGCAGAATTGATCAAGCAGAAGGAAGATTCATGAGCTTAAAGACAGGCTACTATAAAGTACATAGTAAAAGGACAAAAAAGAAAAGAAGAATAAAAAATAATAAAGCATGCTCACGAGTTTTAGAAAATAGCCTCTAAGGGCAAAACTAAGAGTTATTGACTTCAATGAGGAGTTAGAGTAAGAGATAGGGGTAGAAAGTTTGTTCAAAGGGATAGTACTAGATAACTTTCCAAACATAGAGAAAGATACCAATATCCAAATACAAGAAGGCTGTAGAACACCAAGCAGATTTAACCCAAATAGGACTACTTCAAGGAATTTAATAAACTCCCAAAGGTCAAGGAAAAAGACAGGATCCTAAAAGCAGTGAGAAAAAAGAAACAGTTAGCATACAATGGAGCCCAGATACACCTGGCAGCAGATTTTTTAGTGGAAAATTTACAGGCCAGGAGAGAGTAGCATGAGATATTTAAAGTGAGAAAAAAAAATTTACTCTAAAATAGTATGTCTGGTGAAAATATCCTTTTAGCATAAAGGAGAAACAAAGACCTTCTCAGACAAACAACAGCTGGCGCATTTCATCAACACACCTGTCCTACAAAAAATGCTAAAGGGAATTCTCCCATCTGAAAGAAAAAGATGATAATGAACACGAAGGAATCATCTGAAAATATGCAACTCATTGGTAATTGTAAGCACACCCAGAAACACAGAATAGTAGGATGCAGTAACTGGTTTGTAAAGTTCTCTTGACTTAAGTAGAAAGACTAAATAGTGAAACAATAAAAAATGATTACCACCACCACTTTTCAAGACATAAAGAGAAACAACAATCAGTTAAAAACTAGGGGGCAATGATAAAGTGTAGATTTCTATTAGTTTTTTTTTGCAAGTTTGCTTAATTTTTTAGGCAATCTGTGTTCAGTTTCCATCAGTTTAGAATAATGAGCTATAAGATAGTATTTGCAAGCCTCATATCAGAAAACAAACAACGGATACACAAAGAAAAAAGCAAAAAAATTAAAGCATACAATCAGAGAAAATCACTTTCACTAAAACTAAGACAGGAGGGAGGAAAGAAGAAGGCACGACCACAAAACAACCAGAAAACAAATAGCAAATGGTATTAGTAAGTCCCTATTTATCAATAAAAATATTGAATTTAAATGGACATTCAATATTATTATTTTTACACTCTGTGAAAAAAGACACAGAGTGGCTGAATGGATCAGAAACAAGAACCAATGATCTGTTTCCTACAAGAAACATTGTCATTTATAAAATAGAGGGATGGAAAAAGATATTCCATGCCAAAGGAAACCAAAAAAGAGCAGGAGTAGTGATACTTGAATTAGACAAAATAGATTTCAAGACAAACATGGTGAGAAGAGACAAAGAAAGTCACTAATGATGATAAAAGGGTCAAGTTAGCAAGAGGATGTAATTATTCTAAATATGTATGCACTCAATACAGGAGCACCCAGATATATAAAGGAAATATTATTAGAGCTAAAGAGAGATAGACCCCAATATAATAATAGCTGGAGATTTCAACACCCCACTTTCAACAATGGACAGATCTCCCTGACAGAAAATCAACAAAGAAACATCAGATTTAATCTGCATTATAGACCAAATAGACCTAATAGATATTTACAGAACATTTCATCCAACAGCTGCAGAATAAACATTTTTTTTTCCTCAGCACATGGATCATTCTCGAGTCCATATGTTAGGTCATAAACAAGTCTTAAAACATTTTTTAAAAATTGAAACAATATCAAGCATCTTCTATGAACACAATGAAATAAAATTATAAATAAATGATGAGGAATTTTGGAAACTATACAAAAACTTGGAAATTAAACAACATGCTCCCAAATCCCTAGTGAGCAAATAAAGAAATTAAGAAAGAAATCGAAAAATTTCTTAAAGCAAGTGATAATGGAAACACAACATACCAAAACCTCTGAGATAGCATGAAAACAGTACTGAGAGAAATGTATAGCTATAAGTGTCTGCATCGAAAAACACTTTAAATAAAAACCTAATGATGCATCTTAAAGAACAAGAAAAGCACGAGCAAACCAAACCCATAATCTAGGGAAGAAAAGAAATAATAAAGATCAGAACATAAATAAATTTAAAATAAAGCAACACAAAAGATCAATAAAACAAAAAGTTGTTTTTTTAAAATTCAAACAAAATCGACAAACCTTTAGGCAAAGTAAGAAAACAGGAGAGAGGATCTAAATAAGTAAAATGAGAGATGAAAAAGGAGACATCACACCTGATACTGTAGAAATTAAAGGCTCATTAGTGGCTACTGTGAGCAGCTACCTGCCAATACATTAGAAAATCTAGAAGAAATTGATTAATTCCTGGATACATGCAAGGTACCAAGATTAAACCATGAAGAAGTGCAACACCTGAACAGACCAATAAAAGTAACGAGATCAAAGTCATAATAAAAAGGCTCCTGGTAAAGAAAACAAAAGCCCGGGACCCGATGTCTTCACTGCTGAATTCTCCGAACATTTTTTTTTTTTTTTGGCAGTCTCGCTTTATCACCCAGGATGGAGTGTACTGGCACCATCTCAGCTCACTGCAACCTCTGCCTCCCAAGTTCAAGCTATTCTCATGCCTCAGCCTCTCAAGTAGCTGCAACTACAGGCACGTACCACCACGCCCAGCTATTTTTGTTTTTGCTGTTGTATTTTTGGTAGAGATGGTGTTTCACTACGTTGGCCAGGCTGGTTCCAAACTCCTGATCTCAAGTGATCCTCCCACCTCTGCCTCCCAAAGTGCTGGGATTACAGGCATGTGCCACCGCACCCGGCCCTGATTTCTATCAAACATTTAAAGAAAATACCAATTCTACTCAAACTTTTCCAAAAACTAGAAGAGGGAACACTGCCAAACTCATTCAATGAGGCTAGTATTACCCTGATATCAAAATCACACAGAAGCACACTAAAATAGAAAACTACAGGCCAATATATCTGATGAATACTAATGCAAAAATCCTCAACAAAACACTAGCGAACTGAATTCATCTATGCATTAAAAAGATTACTCATCGTGACCAAGTGGGATTTACCCAGGGAAGCAAGGATGGTTAAACATATGCAAGTCAATCAACGTGATACATCACATCAACAGAATGAAAGACAAAACCGTATGACTATTTCAGTTGATGATGAAAAACCATTTGTTAAAACATAACATTCCTTTATAAAAACCTTCAAAAACTGGGTATAGAAGGAACATACCTCAACATAATAAAAGCTCCATATACAACAGACTCATAGCTAGTACCATGCTGAATGGGTAAAAAGTGAAAACTTTTTTTTAAGATCTGGAACATGACAAGCATGCCTAATTTCACTACTGTTATTCAACATAGTATTGGAAGTCTGAGCTAGAGCAATCAGACACAAGAAAGATATAAAGGACATGCAGATTGGAAAGGAAGAAGTCAAATTATCCTTGTTTGCAGATGACATTTTATATTTGGAAAGAAAAAACAAAATACTCCACAAAAATACTATTAGAATTGATCAACAAATTCAGTAAAATTGTAAGATACAAAATCAATATACAAAAATCAGTGGCATTTTTAACCCAACAGTCAACAATCTGAAAAAGGAACCAAAAAATTAATCTCATATACACTAGTCACACATAAAATTAAATACCTAAGAAAAAAAATTAAGCAAGGAATTGAAAGATGTCTCCAATGAAAACTGTAAAACACTAATGAAAGAAATTGAAGAGGACACCAAAAGTGGAAAGATATTCCATGTTGATGTATTGAAAGGATAAATATTGCTAAAATGTCCTTACTAACCAAAGAAATCTACAAATTCTGTGTAATTCCTATCAAACTACCAAAGACATTCTTCACAGAAATAGATGAAACAATCCTAAACTGTATATAGAATCACACAAGACCCAAAATAGCTAAAGCTATCCTGAGCAAAATGATCTAAACTGGAAGAATAACATTGCCTGATTTCAAACTGTACTACAGAGCTATAGTAACCAATACAGTATAGCATTGGCATCAAAACAGTCACATAAACCAGTTCAACAAACAGAGAACATGAAAACAAATTCATACCCATATAATGAACTCATTTTTCACAAAGCTTCCAAAAACATACACCTGAAAGAACAGTCTTGTCAGTGAATAGTGCTGGGAAAGCTGCATAACCATATGCAGAAGAATGTAACTTGATCCCTATCTCTCTCACCTTATATAAAAATCAAATCATAATAGATTAAAGGTTTAAATGTAAAACCTTAAACTATGAAACTACTATAAGAAAACATTGGAGAAACTCTCCAGGACATTGGTCTTGGCAAAAATTTCTAGAATAATACCTCAACGGCACTGGCAACCAAAGCAAAAATGGGCAAATTGGATCAAGTCAAAATATTTCTGCATAAAAGGGAAACAAGCAACAAAATGAAGACACAACCCACAGAATGGGAGAAAATATTTGCAAACTACCCATCTGACAAGGCATTCATAATCAGAATATATAAGGAGCTCAAACAACTCTACAGGAAAAAATCTAATAATCCAATTAAGTATGGTCAAAAGATTTGAATAGCTATTTCTAAAAAGAAGAAAAAAATGGCAAACAGGCATATGAAAAAGTGCTCAACATCATTGATCATCAGCTAAATACAAATCAAAACTACAACGAGATATCATCTCACCCAAGTAAAAACAGCTTTTTTTTCAAAAGTCAGGCAATAACAAATGCTGGCGAGGATGTAGAGAAAAAGGAACCCTTGTTCACTGTTGGGAATGTAAATTAGTATAATCACGATGGAAAACAGTTTTGGAGGTTCCTCAAAAAACTAAAAATTGAGCTTCCATACCATCCAGCAATTCCACTGCTGGGTGTATACACAAAAGAAAGGAAATCAGTATATAGAAATATCTGCACTCTCATGTTTGTTCACAGTAGCCAAGATGTAGTAAAACGTATGTTTATCAACAGATGAATAGATACATAAAATGTGTTACTTAAACACAATGGAGTACTATTCAGCCATCAAAAAGAACAACATTCTGTCATTTCCAACAACATAGATGGAATTGGAGGTCATTATGTGAAGCAAAATAAGCCAGGCACTGAAATACAAGCATCACATGTTCTCAGTTATTTGTGGAATACAAACATCAAAACAATTGAACTCGTGGAGACAGAGAATAGGAGGATGGTCACAGGAGGCAGGGAAAGGTAGTGGAGGGCTGGGAGGAAGGTGGGAATTATTAATGAGTACACACACACAAAAATAGAAAAAATAAAAAAGACCTAACATTTGATATCACAACAGGTTGACTATAGTTGATAATAATTTAATTGTCCATTTAAAAATAACTAAAAGAATATAACTGGATTGTCTATAACATAAAGGATAAATGCTTGAAGGGATGAATACCCAATTTTCCATAACGTGATTACTGTGTATAGCATGTCTATACCTAAATATCTCATGCACCCCAGAAATATATACACCTGCTATGTACCCACAAAACTTTAAAAAATAAAAATAAAAAGAACAACCTAAATTCTCATATTTAATCTAAATAGAAGTTGTGTATTTTAATCATTACTTTCATCCGTGCTTTAGTCATTTAAGCTTTGCTGCTCCATAAAGAATTATAGACACAACATTAATGCTGAAAAGCAGCTTTTATACTCTCATACTTGATGACCTCTTATGTTTCTGAATAGCCTAATACTCTGGCTATGAAAATATACATATACATGTGTGTGAGTATATATGTATGCATATATTTATATGCATGTGTATGTATATATGTATATATATTGTGAAATACACCATTTTACAAAAGAAAATTTTAGGGTTTAATAGTCAAATCCTATATAGGATGAGATGCACTCTATGAAATCCTATATTGGAATTGACTATTCAACCCTAAAATATATATTTGCAATAAAAGCAAGCTTAACTTAAAACTTCGAAACCATACTTCTGAAAAATTCAAAATAATTTGTGTTTATTTTCTTTCACTTTATGAAATTTTTAGTGATTTTTCTTGATTTTATTGATATGAGTCATAAAAATACTTTTATATACTAATAAAAAATACTGTTAAGAAAGCATTTGAGAGAGAGAGAGAATACAGATACATAATATGGTCTCATGGCTATATTAAGTCTATAACATAATTAATTATATATCTGATTTTTTTAATAGAAGTAAAATCAATTAAATTTAATTGGAACATTTATATCACAATTTCCAATAGAAGGAGATATAATTACATTTCAAAGTACTTCACCTGAAACAACAGTGCTCTTAATTCTTTCAAAATTGACTATTAATTACAAATGTCTAGTTCTACTTGCTTTTCTAAGTGCTGGTTTTTGCAGCAACAGTTTTCTAGCAAAAGAAATGTAGTGAAATTTCTGCTTCACTAAGCCATTTTAAAACATTATAGTTTGGAGCCATTTCCTCCTCCAACTTCTTGAGATTTATGGTAAGTGTTCAATCTTGTATACTATTTTATAGATGCACTCTATTAAACCAGCAATAATATAAGATTTCAAATATGGATAGCAAATGTCAGTAAGACACTATATAAAACCATGAAATAAAACATAAAAAGTTATTTAAGTTGAATATAGAACACAATTTTAGTGTTATATTGCAAATGTTAAAAATTATGCAGTCTTCAAGAATATAAATTAGAGCTTTTTAAGGAATAATTATTTTAGAAATATTAATATGCAAGGACACTTTCACTGGAACGTTAAATTTATCTCTAAGACAGCAGGCATTTTAAACAAATGTTATATTTTTTAAGGAAGAAAAGCCTTTGCATTCAACTATATGAAGGCATAGAGAAGTAACGTTTCCTGCTCAGAACTATGGGAACAGGCAGTCATAGTCGTTGTAGGAGAGCAAATGGTGAGGAAAGGACCAGTTCTTCCTTTTTATAAACAAAGACTCAGCATGGCCAAGGTCAAGGACACCTTGAGGGACGGCAATCTTTTGAGGTTACATGTAATTGTCTTGTATTTTCTCCAAATGTGAAGTTCTAGCTCACATGTAAGTCTTAAAAATAAATAGTAGTGAAATCAGAAGTGACCTTTTAATACTCCAGTCTTCTCAAGTTAAAAAAAAACAATGTGAATCAACACACATCAGATATTTAGAAAAAAAGTTATTCATTAATTAATTCATTCATTTGTTTACACATTGTAAAACAATTCATACTAGTAACAAATATCTGTATTAACAGTGAATGAAGCATATTTATGATTTTTTATTTGAATATTTCAGTAGCAATTTAAAATATGCTGAGCCATTAGTATGTGTCAGGTACTGCTTTAATGATTTATGTGAATTGATCTACTTAATTTTCATATCAATGCTATATTAGAAAGAAGAAAACAGAGACACTGAGAATGTTGATAGCTCACCTGGTCATTCATGGTGAACCTGGGTTTTATATTCAGGAAGATTGACCCTACGCTCCACACTCCTACCATTTTACCATATAATAGTGTAATAACAGACACGAATTTTGGTTATATGGCTTGAAAAATCAGAAAAAATGCTACCTAGGGGGTAAAATGCAATGGTTATTAAATGGAAGACTGCAGACTTTTGTCCCAATTTCCTGCCACCAAGTGTACTATAATATTTTCCCTTGTCTCATAAGGAGTTCTTCTTCAGGGTAAGAATACACAGGATCAACAAACTACAATGCAATGCAATCAATGATATAAGGAGTATGTCTAAGGCACTACTAAATTTTAGAGAAAGAAGAGTACCTCTTGCTCAAAGTCAGGGGTCTGTGGCCAAGCCTTACCTACAGAGCCAATCGCAAGTTCAAGGAAATTAGATATCTGATTAAACAGGGGACAAATTGAAGGACTTTTAAAAACTTCCATGACTGACAACTTTCACACTGTTCTACTTTGGTGCTTCAGATTACCTTATACAGTCACACCTGATGACCTCTTATTTGTCTGAATAGCTTAAATAACTACTGTTCACAACAGCTAACAACAGAATCCGTAAAATACAAGTATGGCATATTTCCTGGGGATAAGTGTTGTAAGAACTTGCATTTAATAATAATAATAGCTAACATTATTAAGTACTTAGTATGTACTAGGTATTATTCTCTATACGTTTTAGGCATTTTATTTTCCTAAATACAACAATTTGTAGGTTAGCTACCATAATTATATCATTTTACAGATGAATAAACTGATTTTCTTAGAGCACAGTTGCCCAAATTGCTCTAGGCTTCTTTCAAAAAGACTAGGGATGAGTTCACTGTGTTTATCTGTGATGTCAAATGGGGTCCACCCTACCCAAGATAGGTAATCCTGTCTATGTTCAAGGCCCTTGGGTTGATAAACTGACTCAAGTTTAAAATACGGTTGCGGATCCATGATTCTCAGGTTGCTCTCTGTTCTTTTGTCTGCCACATCTGGAGTGTCTTGCTTTTGTAAATCAGGTAAGACCTTGGAGAAACATTTATTTTATTCCTAAGAACCCCATAATAATTAACCATAGGTAGAGATCTTTATTGGTGTAAGGGATTTCTAATACCCACCTATTCTGCTGCCTATTATAACAGTCACATACACTTTTATCATTTCTTGGCTCAACCTCCTGTGATCCTCCCAATCTCACTGAGATGAAATTTTAAATCCTTTCTAACTCATTCTTAGTGGAAAGAGAGCAACCAATAAAACATGTTTTCTTATTTTTTCCTCCTTTTAAATAATACTATATTTTCCTTAATTAACCTATCCCTAAAACTTTTTGAAAAGAACAACTTCTGAAATTTCTGGAGGGATATAATGAAGAAATAAGTGAGATAGACCCAGCTGATATATAAATCCAACAATCTTAGATTAAGATTTACATGAAGACATAATGGCCAAAGTCTCTGATTAGTTCACCATTATGAGAAAATTCAACCTGAGCTAAAGTTTTATTCCTCACTTCCATATTTCTGCAAACTCAAAATCCATTTCTACAAATACTCATCAGGTTTTGAGTGATAAAATTAGCAAATCCCTGCAATCTTTCTATTTGTTTTTTCTTCTCAGGTAGCATTTTAACCTCTAGAACATGATGAATTTGGAATCTGAATACTGGCCTAATATGAGGATTGAGGCAAGAAGAAATGCATGAATTGTTTTCTGCAAGTGTGAAAAAACCTCACCAAGGGTTTCTGGGGTTTATGAGTTTGAGGTAATACAAATTCATGCATCTTCTTATAACCCCTGTCATATTACTGTAATTTGCTTCTCTGTTAATTAATGTATGAACTTTCACATTAGGTCTGACAAATTCACATGATTTTTTAACCCAGCATCCCAGAGAATTATTTTCTTTGGTGGTGGCAGTGGTGCTGGTATATTAATTTGTTTTTGTTGTTGTTTACTGATCTTAGCCCAGGGTCATAAGGTCTAAGAAATTATTTTAGTATTTTCAAATATATCCTCAAAAGGCTGGGGATTTCCTTTTGGACCTTGAGAAAATAATGTATGTGTTTTTAGTTTTTCTTCTCTCATTATATATTATTCTATGCCATCAGAAGCAATCTTCTTTTTGTTTTTTCATCTCGGGTCATGCATTTCATCTTATCCCAGCCAGGAATAAATTCAGCATTTTCCTGAAGATCTCTTACCTCATAATCAATTTTTGTATTAATTAGGGTTTTTGTTTGCAAGACACAAGCAATAACACTTAGTCTAAAATAAGCCAGAAATTATTGTTTAATAAAGTAAGAGGTAGTTAATAGAATAACAGTGGATAAAATGAAGACCATACATCAGAAAAGAACAGCTGCTGGATCCAGGTAGCAAAAATGAAAAAACAGAGTAAACAGACAACCTACAGAATGGAAGAAAATATTTTCAGCAAAAATTAATCAGAGTGCTATTCACAATAGCAGCATCATGAATTTAACCTATATACCCATCAAAGGTAGACTGGATAAAGAAAATGTGCCATATATATATATATACACACACACACACACACACATAGTATATGTGTATATATATAAAATGTATATGTGTGCGTGTGTATGTGTGTATATATGCCATAGAACAGTACACAGCCATAAGAGTGAATGAGATCAAGTCCTTTGCAGCAACAATGATACAGCTAGAGGCCATAATCTCAACCAAACTAATGCGGGAACAGAAAAGCAAATACCACATGTTCTCGCTTATCAGTAGGAACTAAATATTAAATACACATGGACACAAAGAAGGGAACAACAGACACTAGGGCCTTTTTGAGGGAGGAGGATGTGAGAAGGGAGAGGATCAGAAAACTGTTTATTGGTTACTATGCCTAATTACACTGGTGATGAAATAATCTGTCCATCTAATCCCTGAGACACACAATTTACCTATATAACAAACCTGCAGTTGTATCCTTAAACCTAAAAGTTAAAAAAAGGAAACTTAACAAGTAAAAACAAATAACTCCATTAAAATGTGGGCACAAGACATGAACAAACACTTCTCAAAAGAAGACACACAAGTGGCCCACCAACATTTAAAAATGCTTTGAATCACTAATCTTCATAAAGATACAGATCAAAACCACCATAAAACACCATCTCACACCAGTCAGAATGGCTATTAAAAAGTCAAAAAATAACAAATGCTGGCAAGGTGGCAGAAGAAAGGAAACACTTATACACTATTGGTGGGAATGTATATTTGGCCCTCTAGAGAACAGTTTGGAGATTTCTCAAAGAACTAAAAATAGTATTACCATTGATCCAGCAATCTTACTACTGGTTATACTCCCAAAGGAAAATAAATTGTCCTACTGAAAAAAAAAAAAACCACCAGCACTTGTATGATTATTACAGCACTATTTACAATAGCAAAGATATGGAATCCACCCAGGTGCCCATCAATGGTGTACTGGATAAAGAAAATGCAGCCCTTTCACTGATGCAAGAGCCTAGTGTGGCAGTGGGAGAGATACCAATGGGAGCAGAGCTGCTGCCAAGGCCTGGGGCTGACCTGTCTGACTTCCCATTCGTGCCGAGCGCACTCAAACTACAGCCACATCTGGGGACAAGATGATTTTTGATCCTACTATGAGCAGGAAGAAAAAGAAGTCATTTATGTTAGATGAGGGTGGGGATACCTAAACAGAGGAAAGCTAACCCTCAAAAATAAAAGAAATGGAGCCAGAGCCAACTGAAGACAAAGATTTGGAAGCTGATGAAGAGGACAATAGGAAAAGAGATGCTTATGATGATCCAGATGACTTGATCTTCTTTAATCAAAAGAAAAAGAAGAGAAAAACAAAAAAGATACTTCATATTGATGGAGGTGAAGAAGATGTAAAGGTTCTTAAGACTGAAAGTGATATTTAAGAACCAGCTGAACCAGGGGATGACCTTGACATTATGTTTGTCGATAAAAAGAAGGAAAAGAGGAATTTCAGGTTCACAGATGAGAATAAATTACTAGAGAAAGATGAAGCCTAAAAGATAAAAGACAGCAAAAAAAGACGATGTTATCTCATTCAGTAATCAGACAGGCTCTATTTGGGCAAGCTTAGAAAGAGACTACACATATGAGAAGCTACTGAATAGAGTGTTCCACATCATGTAGGGACAATGCAGTTATGGTTTCTGGAGAGAAAAGGAAATTTGTCACAAAACCTCCTTATGTCGTCTGAGTAGGAACCAAGGAAACTTCTTTTGTCAACTTTACAGATTTCTATAAACAAACGTATTGTCTCCCCAGACACCTCCCTGCATTTTTGTTGGGTGAACTGGGTACAAATGGTTCTGTAGGTGGTAATAACCAACTTGTAATCAAAGGAAGATTACAAAAGAAACAGATAAAGATTGTCTTAGAAGACACATCAATGAATTCATTACTTGTCACACACGCCGAACATGGAACACAATCCTGTAGAAGCACATCCAACTCTACTTTTTACAAAGAGAAATGTGTCATTCTAGAGATTCTATTGCCAGCATCAAAATCAGCTTCCAGGTTGTCATGGGCAAGTGAACACAGCTCTGCGCCAAAGCTAACTAATTTGCTAATCACTGATTTTGCAAAGCATGCTGTGAAGATTTGCCTGGACAGGATTGCCATCAGAGTGGATATACCCTTGCACTAAAAACAAGATTAAAAAGGTGCCAAGTTCTTTGGTGAGTGGTTCGTTGGTCTGATATCCTTGCAAGATGCTGTTGTTCAAGCTGTTGACACACTTATTGCCTACTTGACAGCTGCCAGAAGAATGCAATACCGGATAAGGAAGTGCTTTTTAAAAATTGTTCATAGATTTCTGTAAAATACAAGATAAATTATTGTAACAGTGAAAAGAAAGAAAATGTGGTAGGTGTACACCATGGAATACTACGCAGCCATAAGAAACAACAAAGTGACATTATTTGCAGCAATATGGATGCAGCTGGAAGCCATTATCCTAAGTGAGTTAACGCAGAAACAGAAAACCAAATACTACATGTTCTTACTAAGTTGAAGTTAAACATTGAGTACACACAGGCACAAAGATGGGAACAATAAACACTGGGATTCCAAAAGTGGGGAAGTAGAGAGAAGGAAAAGAGTTGAAAAACTACTTATTGGATACCATGTTCATTACATGGGCAACAGAAACATGAGGAGCCCAAACCTTGGCATCATGCAATATATGTATATAACAAATCCGCACATGTATCCCGAGTCTAAAATTATAAATAAAAAGAAAAAATTTAAAAATTACACAAAAAATTATTTATATAAAATTTATTTATATTTGGGTAAAAATATAGCTAATTATTTTGTACTGCCTATGTGCCATAGTCTATACTAGTGATATTCATTAAAGGACAGTTTTATCCTCTGCGAAATTTTAATAATTTGGAGACTTTTTTTATCGTCATAATGGGGTGAGGTGTTACTGGCATTTAGTGCATAGAGGTCAAGATGCTGCTAAACCCAGGACAGCACCCCACAACAAAGGATTATACAAACAAAAATACCAATAGTGCCAATATTGAGAAGCCCTACTCTATACCAGGAAATTTATATGCATTAGATCATTTCTAAAGTCTTCCAGAATATAATGAGCTAAGGTTAATTGGTTATTTTGGTCAACCACAAGCCCTATTCTAGGAACGTATCAGCACTACATTGTGCACATAGTAGGCAAGTGAGAATCTAGAATTCAGAAGAATGGGTCATCATTTATGGTTAATCCTAATCTTTGTCTCAGCACACAGAAGATCTGTCAAACTCAGTGTGGGGATGGGACGCTTATTATAAATTCTCCAAGAAACAAAATTGATACCAAAGGCAAGAATACTCAAGGTCTGGGATCAATTATAAATTAAAAAGTCTGTTCTGGATTTCCATATATGAAAGGTTAGTTGAGAAGGAGAACCATGTACACTGAGTTACCATATCCAAAACTATGTCAACAAAACTAGGTAGCAGTGGCTTCAGACACAAAAGCACAAATCATAGCATAAAGCAAGAGGCAGATAGGTAATTAGAGAGGCCAGCAAATTTAGGCAGGATTAGGGGCTGGTTTATGGAAATTTCTGACCCTAGAAGCCAGTAGCCACTGTGCCTTTTTCTCCACAGCCTATAAAAATGCAAATTAACAATTGAAATATGAGAAAACCTAGAGACAAAACCCCTGAGTAATTGGAACACAGAAAGTACAAATAACATTGCAGTTGGAAAGAGGAAGCTGTGATGTTAAGCAGGATAATTCACCTCTGTAGCCCTCAGTCTCTTCCTCTGTAAAATGAGATAAGAGCAACTGGATTTATGAAGCCTTTCCACTAATTCTTCCTTTCCACTAACCTGTGATTCTTTCCAGGTTTGAAAGTATCTTGGGTACAGAAGAGACATCAAAGATAAAAGGAGTGTTGCTTAGAGAAATGATTCTGTGAAATCCCCTCTACCTTTTTATTCTCTTGATTTACACTGTTAAAACACTTTATAGCGATTATTTTTTATTTATTTACTTTTGTCACAATCACTCCTTTTTATGCAACTATAACGATTTGCACAGAAGGCTTTCATTCATGCCTTGTTCCTTTTATAAGTACAATCAGTGTTTGCCCTTAGAACACAGTGTGTTCTTTTCTTGTCTTGGGACACCACATAGACACTGTCCTTCTGAATATATGTCTCTCTTACCAACCCTTCTAAATTCATAGCCAGCCAGGGCACTTGCCCAATAGATTCAAACTCTGTGATTTTTAACCAAGCAAGTAAGTGAAAAAAATCTAATCTTTAGGTTCAGCAACTCAGAAAATCTGAACTAAAAATAGACACTTGATTTTAATACATTGAATCTACTCGTCATCCATGTCTCGTTTTTATTAGTTTTTCTTTTTGTAATATACAATCCTCTTTCCTTGCATTCTCCAAGATATTTTCAGTGGCGGAGACATGGAACCATCATAGGGTCACCATGCAGTTTCAGAATAATTTCGTAAGCAGGTATTTCCAAGAACTAAAACTCACCAGCCAGAGCAACCTGAGTTTACCTTTTCTGTCCTAAGGCGGTTATCCAACTGTTGTGTGCCCTGAGTATCCATGTGCCAAACATTTGTTGTCTTGTTTCCTAACATCTAATACATTTTTAAGGTCCATATGATGATATTTTGTGCTTGTTTCTTTAATTAAATCTTAGTTTTAAGAATCTTTCATATGTCCTGAACCCCTTCGCTAGGAACCACTGCATAGCTCTTATTTTTCTCCTCTGTTAAGTCTTGATTCTGTTTTCACCTCCAGTCAGCAGCTAAAGTCCAATCCCAAATCCCTTCGGCCACCTAAAATAATAGACTTCACTGTATTACTGTGGTGGTTCTGACATCACCACAGTATAAAATGTTGTTTGTGGTGTGTCTTAAGCCCCCACTACCCACAAAACCTCCTTAGGATATCAGTAGCTTGTTCCCCTTGAAGTCTGATTTGGATTGCTGGTCATACAACAAAGAACCCTCACCAACTATACAAGGTGCTTAATGGGATATCTATTCAGTGTTTTACTCTGAAAACTGCCCTTCTTCCACACAGAGACACAATTGTTCTATGAAATCTAAAGCCAAGGATTGACATACTTTTTCTGCAAAGGGCCAGCTACTGAATCTTTTAGTCTGTGTGGGTGATATCTTCTCTGTCATAACTCCTCAACTCTGTCATGGTAGTGTATAGTAGCCAGGGAAAATGTGTAAATATGTGCGGTTGTTTTCCAACAGATTGTTATTTATAAAAGGCAGCAGAAAGCTGGGTTTGGCCTGTGTGCAGTGCTTTGCTAGGCCCTCTCCCAAGCCTTCAATTAGTAGGAGACATGTGACGCAAGTTTGAATTCTTCCATGTATTTTGAACTGGGATACAGAGAATAGATGTAATTGCTCTTTGTCATTTGAACTCAAATGATACGGAAATGTGATTCCTAGGAAACACTTATCTAACATCTCCACAGAAAGATTTGTTTTGCAGAAGTGATAACAAAAGCTTAGATCAGACCTGCTCTCAGTAATGACCCGCTTAGCAAGGCTGGCTCACACCACATTCTTACCTGCTATGTTGCAGTACAGGACATATGTAGAAGGACTATGTGTTACTAAAACCTGTGCTTGTCAATCACAAGGTAGAATAAAAATGAATTCTACAGTGTAGAACTCAGATATATATATATTTTTTTCAGAGATACCTCATTCAGTATATATTAATCATTATTTTACTTTTTTATTTTGACTTTTCATTAATTTCCCCAAAACATGTATTATATTATTTGCCTATCAAGTTGTAGGCAACTAGAGGCAGGGATAAAGTGGTGAACCAACCATACGGTTCTGATTCATAAGGAGTTCACAGTCTACGTAAAAAGCAGCTTTTTAGAAAAGCAATTTTAGAACAACTACAATAACCATTTCCAGACTTACAAAGTAAATCACATATGGTCTAATATTTTCCTTCATACAACATTTATGTATTTGAGAAGTCTTTAAACATTTTTTAGAAACATTCTTTTTGGACGTTTAAGAGGTTTTCCATGTGACACACTACAAACAAGGTTGCTTTTATATGATTCAATGACATTCTGATAGGACGACAGTTAATTCTGCTAAGAACAGCATGTTAGAGATTAAAAAGAAAACCACTTGTTATATTTGCCAATAAGCTGTTTTACTTGCTATATGAGCATCCAATCAATACTGGATGAATCAGAACTTCTTATCCATACATATGTAAGTCTCTATATTTTTCTTCATGGATATTTAAAATATAATTCTGATGAAGGATGTGCCTTTAGATATTGACACTGGAATGATATTTTATTTCTCATCGTTTTCATCAACTTTGGCTTCAGTTTTTAGAAAGTATACACTTATCACAAGAAAACAGCTCTGGAGTTAACATACTATGCAAAGATAGTCCACCTGCCCAACAGAGAAAAATCAGTCAAACTTTTGTTGACACTGAAAAAAAAGTACTTTTCCACAGAGGCACTTTCCAATGTACCTCTCAAAGACATGCCTTATAACAATGCTACTCTGTTAGAAGTAAGATTTCAGGAAGAAAGTGTTTTCCTCTGGGACTGTGGTGCTTTCGCCATCTACTTAATAAGTGAATTTTGCTTCTTCACAAACTATCTCAAACTCAGTTAAGAAAAAGTACATTGAAACTGCTAATAAAAATGAGAAACAAAATATTTTATATGTAAAAAAATCATGAAATACTTTTATTTATGAATAAATAAAAATATCATGAAATATCATGATATTTCATGAAATACCAAGACCTAAGCTAAATGCTGTTTTTGTTGTTATTTCATTTTGTTATTAAGCTATTTTTCTTGTATATACTTAAGACATACAACATGATTTTTTTTTAACTTCCATGTTGGGTTCAGGGGTACATGTGCAGGTTGTTAGCTAGGTAAACTATTGTCATGGAGGTTTGATGTACAGATTGCTTCATCAGCAGGTTCCTAAGCCTAGTACCCAATAATTAGTTTTTCTGCTCTTCTCTATGCTCCCACCCTCAACCTTCTGGTAGGCCATGGTGTCCGTTCTCCTCTTTGTATCCATGTGTTCCGACCACTTAGCTCCCACGTATGAGTGAGAACATCAGTATTTTGGTTGTCTGTTCTTGTATGAGTTTGCTAAAAATAATGGCTTCTAGCTCCATCCACGTTCCTGCAAAGAACATGATCTTGTTCTTTTCTATAGCTTCATAGTATTCCATGGTGTATATGTACCACATTTTCTTTACAAGCCTTCTATTGATGGGCATTTAGAGTGATTACATGTCTTTGCTATTGTGAACAGTGCTGCTATGAATATATGCATGCTTCTGTCTTTATAACAGAATGATTTATATTCTGCTGGGTATATACCCAAGAATGGGATTGCTGAGTGGGATGGTAGTTCTGATTTTAGCTGTTTGAGGAATCACCACACAGCTTTTCACAACAGTTGAACTAATTTACATTCCTGCCAACAGTGTATACACACTCTTTTATCTGCAACCTCACCAGCATCTGTTATTTTTTTTATTTTTTCATAATAACCATTCTGACTGGTGTGAAATGATATTTCATTGTGGTTTTGATTTCCGTTTCACTAATGATCAGTGATACTGAACTTTTTTCATATGCTTGTTGGCTGCATCTGTGTCTTCTTTTGACAATTTTCTGTTTATGTCTGTGTCCACTTCTCAATGGGGTTGTTTAGTTTTTTCTTGTAAAATTGTTTAAGTTACTTATAAATGCTAGATATTACACCTTTGTCAGATTCATAGTTTGCAAATATTTTCTCCCATTTCTATAGGATGTTTACTCTTTTGATAGTTTATTTTGATATGTAGAAACTATTTAGTTTAATTAGTTTATATTTGTCAATTTTTGCTTTTGTTGCAATTGTTTTCGGTGTCTTAGTCATGAAATCTTTGCCAGGGCCTATGTCCAAAAAGGTATTGCCTAGGATGTCTTCCAGAGTTTTTTTTTAATATAGTTTTGGTTTTACATTTAAGTATTTAATCCATCACGAGTTGATTTTTATATATGGTGAAAGGAAGGGGTCCAGTTTCTGCTTTCTGTATATGGCTAGTCAGTTATCACTGCACCATTTAGTGAATAGGGAGTCCTGTCCCCACTGCTTGTTTGTGTCAGCTTTGTCAAAGATCAGATGGTTGTAGGTATGCAGCCTTATTTCCAGGCTGCCTTTTCGGTTCCATTTGTCTATGTGTCTGTTTCTGTACCAGTACCACGCTGTTCTGATTACTATAGCCCTGTAGTGCAATTTGAAGTTGGGCAGCATGATGCTTTCTGCCTTGTTCTTTTTACTTAGGACTGCCTGGACTATTCGGGCTCTTTGTTGGTTCCATATGAATATTAAAATAGTTTCTTCTAGTTCCATGAGGAATGTCAAAGAGGACTATTATGAACAATAGTATGCCAAAAACTTCAATAACCTGAAAGATAGGGTTAACATTCTAGAAACATACATTCTGAAGACTAAATCAAGAAGAAATAGAAAGCCTGAAAGATAAATAACAAATAAAGAGATTGAAGTGGGAATCAAAAACCTTCCAACAAGGAAAGCTCAGGGTCATATAAGTTCATGACTGAATTATATCAAACAACGAAATAAAAATTAATACCCATCTATCTTAAAATGTTCCAAAAAATAGAAGTAGAGGGAATATTTCCAAACTTTATTATATGAGGTGAGCATCACCCTTACATCAAAATCAGACAAAGACATCACAAGAAAAAAAAAAAAAACTACAAGGCCAATATATGTATATGCTTTCAAAAATAATTAAATACTAACAAGTTGAATTCAATAACACATCAAAAAAAATTATAGGCCATTTTGTTCCCAAAATGATGACATATAAGGCAGTTGGCTTTACTCCTCCCTGCACAGAAAATCAGACACAAATATACAGTGCTGAGATTATCAGCAATATCTCAGAACTCAAAGAACTCCAAGCAGATGGTAATGAATGGGACTTCCATACCCACAATGTCCCACCCCTCAATCTGCCCAGCATTAAGTGTGCAGAAAATTTATCTCTGACTCATGGTGTCTATACTGAAAACAGCAATAGTGATGTGGACAACCAGACTTCCCATCATCTGGGATTTCCTGGCAAGAAACCAGTTCCTCCCTCAACCGACAGGAAGCATCAGAAGAGCCTCAAGACAGAAATGTTCTAAAGAACAGCCAGTGACAAACGGGAGAGAGGAGACTACCATCCCCAGCCCTGGAAACTCTTCTCTATAACTTAGCCAAAGGAGATATCAAATCAGAGTAGCTGTTCAGTAGTACCATACTATAGAAGATATGTTCCACAGATCCTCTTCATATGAATCCATAACCAGCCTTCACACAACATTTGGATATCCACAAAAGGACCTCTCTCATTCATGACAAGCAGTACTCTGATCATTTACTAGAGCTGAGACAAACCTGGGCTTAAGGCAGCATTGAGTGCCAAAAAGAAGGTGACAACCTGGCAGAAAAATAAAAATGAATTCAAAAGGTAAATTACAAAGACTCTCTAAGCAAATATATTTGATAAAAACCTAAACAATCTGGACAGAGAACGCCTGTAATCCCAGCACTTCGGGAGGCCAAGGCAGGCGGATCACAAGGTCAGGAGATCGAGACAATCCTGGCTAACACAGTGAAACCCCGTCTCTACTAAAAATACAAAAAATTAGCCGGGTGTGGTGGCAGGTGCCTGTGGTCCCAGCTACTCGGGAGGCTGAGGCAGGAGAATGACATGAACCCGGGAGGTGGAGCTGGCAGTAAGCTGAGATTGTGCCACTGCTCTAGCCTGGGCAACAGAGGGAGACTCTGTCTCAAAAAAAAAAAAAAAAATCTGGACAGAGAAGACTGGAATAAATAACTCATCATTCAATGCAATGAAATAAACATATGTTCACAAGAAACAACAACAAATAGGGAACCACAACTTCCCCAGACAGACAAATAGAGAACCAATGGCTGGCCTTGAGATAGTGATAGGTGAGCTCTCGGATCAAGATTTTAAAATAGCAGTTTTAAGAAAACTCAGTGATATCCAAGACAACACAGAAAACCAATTCAGAAATTTATTGGAGGAACTTAACGAAGAGACTGAAATGATTTAAAAAATCAAACAGAAATCTTGGACCTAAGAAATATATTTGCTGTTGGCCAGGCACGGTGGCTCATGCCTGTAATCCCAGCACTTTGGGAGGCTGAGGCAGGTGGAATCATCTGAGGTTAGGAGTTCGAGACCAGCCTGGCCAACATGGCGAAATCCCCGTCTCTACTAAAAATACAAAAATTAGACAGGTGTGGTGGCACGTGCCTGTAATCCCAGATACTAGGGGACGCTGAGGCAGGAGGATCACTTGAACCTGAGAGGCAGAGATGCAGTCAGTTGAGATTGTGCCACTGCTCTACAGCCTGGGCAAGAAAGAGTGCAAGACTCTGTCTCAAAAAAAAAAAAAAAAGAAAAAGAAAGAAATATATTTGTTAAACTAAAAAAAGTGTTAATTGTTCTCCATAGCAGAAGGCATGGAGCAGAGTAAACCAGAGAACTTAGAGACAATTTGAAAATACACTGTGTCAGAGGAGAAAAAAAAATACAAAAAAAAAGAAGGTACAAGATCATCTACAAGATATAGAAAATTACCTCCAAAGACCACACCTAAGAATTATTGGGGTTCAAGAGGGTGTTGAGCAAGAGCAAGAGGTAGAAAGTTTATTCAAAGAAATAATAACAGAAACATGCCAAAACTTTAGAGATAAATATTTAGGTGCAGGAAGGTCAGAGAACACTGAACAGATTTGACCCAAATAAAACTGCCCAAGGCATATAATAATCAAAATTTCAAAGGTCAAGGACCAAGAGAGGATTCTGAAAGCAACAAGAAAAAAGAAGCAAATAATATAAAGGAACTCTAATTCATCTGTCAACAGACTTCTCAATGGAAACAATACAGGCCAGGAAGGAGTGAGATGACATATTCAAAGTGCTGAAAGAAATAAACTGTCATCTAAGAACACTGTAACTAGAAAAGCTATTCTTTAAATATGAAGGATACATAAAGTCTTTCCCAGACATATAAAAGCTGAGAAAATTCACTGCCATCAGACTTTCTTACAAGAAACATTAAAGAGAGTTCTTTAATCTGAAAGAAAACAAAGTCCCCCTAATGTGCAAAAAAGAAAACACTTGAAGGTATAAAACCCACTGGTAAAAGTAAATACACAGACAAACCCGGAATATTCTAACATTGCAACTGTGGTATGAAATCCTCTTATAACTCCAGTATGAGGTGCACAAGACAAAGCCATAAAAAACAGTAAAAGCTACAGAAAACTGTCAAGAGATAGGTAATTTAAAGATATATTAATTGAGATAACAAAAAGTCAAAATGCAGGAAGAACAAAGTTAAAGTGCAGGTGATTTTTTTTCATTTTTTCTTTGTTTATATTATTTTATTTTTAATTTATGGTAAGTGATCATCACTTATAAATAACTTGTAATATCTGTAAGATGTTTTGTCTCATTGTAACCACAATGCAAAAATCTATACTAGATTCACTAAAAATAAAAAGCAATAAATGAAAACATACTACCAGAGAAAATCACAAAGAAATATAATAAAAAAGGAAGAAAGGAAGAGAAGAGTTATAAAATAACAAGAAAATAAGCAAGATAATGGCATTGCTCAGTCCTTACTAATCAATAACAATAAATGTAAATAGACTGAATTTGGTAATAAAAAGACTGGAAGGATGAATGGACAAAAATAATACCCTGTTGTATTCTGCCTATAAGAAACTGACTTCACCTATAAAAACACATAGACTGAAATGGATGAAGAAAGAGATTTAATGCAACTGGCAACCGAAAAAGAGCAAAAGTAGCTATAATTGTATTAGACCGTAAAAGGAAACAAAGGAAGGTTACTATATAATGATAAACGGGTAAATTCAGCAAGAGGACTTAACAATGATAAATATATATGCACCCTACACCAAGCCACCCAAGTATTTACAGCAAAATTAATTGATCTAAATGGATAGAAAGACTGCAATACAATCATACTAGGGACTTCAACACCCTGCTCTCAGTAGTGGACAGATCATTCAGATGATCAACAAAGAAACATCCAAGTTAAACTATTAATACACACTAGACCAATCAGGCCTAACTGATATTTACAGAACATTTCACCCAACTGCTGCAGAATACACATTATTTTCATCAGTACATGGAACATTCTCCAATACAGACCATATGTTAAACCACAAAACGAGTCTCAAAAAATTCAAAAAGTAGACATTATATCAAATATCTTGTCTTACCAAAATGGAATAAAATTAGAAATAAAACTAGAAAGAAGAACCTTGGAAACTATGCAAACACATGGAAATTAAACAAAATTCTCCTGAATGACCAATGGGTCAATGAAGAAATTAAGAAGGAAATTTAAAAATTTCTTAAAACAAATGAAAATGGAAATGCAACATATTAAAATTTATGCAATACAACAAAAGCAACAGTAAGAGAGAAGTTTGTAGCAATAAATTCCCACATTAAAAAATTGAAATATGTTAATTAAACAACCTAATAATGCACCTCAAGAAATGAGGTCAGCAAAAACTGAAGAAACCAAAAATTAGTAGAAGAAAAAATACATTATACTAAAGATCAGAACAGAAGTAAATAAAATTGAGACCAAAAATCTACACAGAAGAGCAACATAATTACAAGTTGGTTTTTAAAAAGATAAACAAAATTGACAAGCCATTAGCTATACTTAGAAAAAGAGAGAGAGGACCCAAATAAAATGAGACATAACAAATGAGACCATAGAAACACATGAAATCTGGGCTGGGTGCAGTGGCTCACACCTGTAATCCCAGCACTTTGGGAGGCCAAGATGGGTAGATAACAAGGTCAGGAGATTGAGATCATCCTAGCCAACATGGTGAAACCCCATCTCTACTAAAAATACAAAAATTAGCTGGGTGTGGTGGCACATGCCTGTAATCCCAGCTACTAGGGAGGCTGAGGCAGAAGAATGGCTTGAGCCTGGGAGGCAGAGATTGCAGTGAGCCAAGGTCATACCACTGCACTCCAGCCTGGCAACAGAGTGAGACTCCATCTCAAAAAAAAAAAGCAAGAAATCTTTAGAGACTGTTATGAACAGCTACATGCCAACAAATTGGAAAATCTAGAAGAAACTGATAAATTCATAGACACATAAAAACTACCTACATTGAACTATGAGGAAATAGATAATCTGGACAAACCAATAATGAGTAATGAAACTGAAAATGTAATAAATATTTTCTCTACTTCTGTAGGTTGTCTGTTTTGCTCTGTTGATAGTACTCCCTGTGTGTCATAAAATCTTTGCCAAGGCTGATATCTGGAAGAGTACTTGGTAGGTTTTCTTCTATGACTTTTATAGGTTGAGAAGAAAATATTTGCAAATTATGCACTAAACAAAGTTCTGATATACAGATTCTACGAGGAATACTAAAAAATCAACAAGCAAAGGTCAAATAACTCTATGAAAATGAGAGCAAAGAAAATGGGCAGAGACTTCTCAAAAGAAGATATATAAGTGGTCAAAAACATTTGAAAAATTAATCACATCATTAATTATCAGAGAAATGCAAATCACAACCACAATAAGATATTATCTCACACCAGTCAGAATGGCTGTTATCAAAAAGTCAGGAAATAGATGTTGGTGAGGCAGAATAGAAAGGGAATATGTCTACATTGTTGGTGGGAATGTAAACTAATTCAGCTACTGTGGAAAGCAGTTTGGAGATTTCACAAAAAACTAATAGAATTACCATTCAATTCAGCAATCCCATTAATGCATATACACCCAAAGGAAAATAAATCATTCTACCAAAACTACACATGCATTGATTTATTCACTGCAGCACTATTCACAATAGCAAAGACACAGAATCAACCTAAGTACCCATTAATGGTGAATTGAATAATGAATATAAGGTACATTATGATAGGGAGGCAACAGAGGAATGACCCCTGCTGGCTGATGACTGCAAATTTGGCAAGGCTCATCTGAATCCATGCATCCCTTGAGACACTTTTGTCCCAAACTCAATTCCAAACTTTGGGTTGCAGCCCTAGAAAGGAAAAAAACCATATCTGAGAGATCCAAAGCCATGATCCTCTAGGTGACTTTAGCACTTGTTAACTGTTAGATTTGGACCGAACAGGGCTATCTCACATGTGAGAGCAGGGCAGTCTGTTTTGATGGTCCCCCTGTCTGTTGGCGTCTTCCAGGGTCCTTGCCTTGCCACACCCACCTGCAGTACAGGCTTAGATGCCCAGCTGGAGAGCTTCCCAGTGTACATCACCGTAGTTCTTTTACCAGCAAATCCCACCTAACTGTTAGAGAGCTTTTGCAGATGAGACTCCACCAATCTGCAGCCACCCAAAGCCTCCTCGCACCACTTTGCTAAAATGCACTCAACCACAGTCTCCTCCAACCACTTTGTAAGTGTGAACAAATCCTGCTGTCCCACCACCACCCTGTTGCCACTGGAACATATGCACGAGTACAGAACCTGCTGACACTGCCCCAATGAAGTGCTTTTGTCAGCACCCCAGTCAAAGTGTTGCCAGCAGACCAGGAACACCTTGGTTCCTCCAGCACAGCAGTGCTTGAGGTAAAGGGGCTAGAGAAGAAAGTCATAGGCCTTATCTCAGGCACCCAGCATTAGAGGAAGCAACACAGGAGTGCTGAGCTGAGCCTTGGCCCCCTGAAATCATTCAGAAAGGAAGCCAATTGACTATATCCAACTTATACCACAGTGAAAACCTCAGGACCATCAAACAATATGAAAGCAAAGAGCCCCATAAAAAGGACAGCAACTTTAAAGATTAAAGGAAAATATCAGCCTATACAGAAGAGAAAGAACTACTGCAAGAACTCTGGCAACTCTAAAAGCCAAAGTGTCTTTCTACCTCCAAATGACTGCAGTCACTTTCCAGAATGATTCTTAATCAGGCTGAAATGGCTACAATGACATAGACATTGTACTCAGAATCTAGATGGCAACAAAGATTGAGATTCAGGAGAACATTAAAAACCCAATCCAAGGTATCTAAGGAATCCAGTAAAACAATTCAAGAGCTGAGGGATTAAATAGTCACGTTAAGACTATGAACACCATTTATGTTCAGAGGTAATATTGATTTGTATGGATTTGATCCTAACAGCATGTTGTTAATTGGATGTTATGTAGACTTGACTGTGAGGTTGCTTTAGTGTCAGTGGTCTATGTATTTAAGTGTGTTTTTGTGGTGGCTGGTAACAACCTTTCATTTCCACTTTTAGCGTGCCCTTGAGGACATCCTGTAAAGCTGTTCTGGTGGTTATAAATTCCCTTAGTATTTGCTTCTAAATGCCGCATTTAAAAGGTGCAGCATGGCAAATTGGATAAACATGCAACTCCTAACTATATGCTGTCGTCAAGAAACCCGTCTCACATGCAATGTCATCCACAGGCTCAAAGTAAAGGAATGGAGAAAGAGCTATCAAGCAAACAGAAAACAAAAAAGAGTAGAGGTTGCTATTCTTATTTCAGACAAAACAGCCTTTAAAGCAATGATCAAAAAGGACAAAAAAGGCAATACATAATGATAAATGTATTAGTTCAACAAGCAGATTGCAACAAAAACAAAAATTGATAAATAGGACCCAATTAAATGAAAAAGTTTCTTTACAGCAAAATAAGTTATCAACAGATTAAACACAAAACCTACAGAATGGGAGAAAATATTTGTAAACTCTGCATTCAATGAGTTCTAATATTCATAATCTATGGGAAACAAATTAAGAAGCAAAAAAAAAACAGCCTCACTAAAAAATGAGCAAAGGACATGAACAGACACTTCTCAAAAGAAGACATACAAAAGGCCAACAAGCATATGAAAAAATGCTAAACATCACTAATCATTAAACATTAAAATCCGTAATTTGAGCAAGGAGCTCAAAGTCTTTGCTGCTATGTCTTCAGCAGCTTAATATAGAGCTGGCACTTAGTTAATATCATTTGAATGGAATTAAATTAAATATAATAAATTGATTTATTAAAATGTTTAAGTGTAATTAGCCCCTTAATGGGTCACTTCATGTATAATTTTATACCTTGAAGGGCCCACTACAACTCCTATAGCTCTGCAGGAGTTGAAGAAGGTGACTTTGCCCAAAACCTGATACTAATTTTCAAAGGAATGTATGCAGCAAAGTCTGCAAGTGGCATGGGCAAACTGTATAACTGGAAACTCTCCAAATGACCTTTAATGTATAACAAAATGTTTATTAAAGGACAGCATTAAAGGATAACAAATATGCAAATTTGACAAAAATGTGTGTGTATGTGTATGTACTGTATGCTTATACATACACAACAACTAAAATTGTTTAGAATTGAGACCCAAAACATTTTTTGGAGGAAAGACTATCTTATTCTTACCAAGAGAAATGCACATCAAAACCACAGTGAGATACCATCTCATGCCAGTTAGAATGGCAATCATTAAAAAGTCAGGAAACAACAGATGCTGGAGAGGATGTGGAGAAATAGGAACACTTTTACACTGCTGGTGGGAGTGTAAATTAGTTCAACCATTGTGGAGGACAGTGTGGTGTTTCCTCAAGGATCTAGAACTAGAAATACCGTTTGACCCAGCAATCCCATTACTGGTTATATACCCAAAGTATTATAAATCATTCTACTATAAAGGCACAGGCATATGTATGTTTATTGTAGCACTGTTCACAATAGCAAAGACTTGGAACTAACCAAAATGCCCATCAATGATAGACTGGATAAAGAAAATGTGGCACATTTACACTATGGAATACTGCGCAGCCATAAGAAAGGATGAGTTCATGTCCTTTGCAGGTACATGGGTGAAGCTGGAAACCATCATTCTAAGCAAACTAACACAAAAACAGAAAACCAAACCCTGCATGTTCTCATTCATAAGTGGGAGTTGAAAAATGAGAACACATGGACACAGGGAAGGGAACATTACACACCATGGCCTGTTGGGGGGTGGGGGACATGGGGAGGGATAGCATTAGGAGAAATACCTAATATAGATGATGGGTTGATGGGTACAGCAAAACACCATGGCACATGTATAACTATGTAACAGACCTGCACATTCTGCACATGTGCCCCAGAACTTAAAGTATATATAAAAAAGATAGGCTTACAGTGACAGAAAACTGACCAATCTTCATCAGTTTAATTGTTATTGTCTTCACGTTTGAATTATTGCCTGCACCCTGGAAGGGTCACTCCTACTGCACTGACCTTGGATCACTACAAGTCTAAGCCTTTCTGTACATACTATTTTTACTACCTAGCAATATTACTGGTGAGTTATTGAGGACCTGAATACAACACTTTAAGTGACATTTGGGAAATAAGTGTACTCATTTCTCTCTGATATGTTTCCAAAACTGATATATCCCAACGTTATCTGTGGCATCATTTCAGAGCTGAGGACAGATGTGCAAATCTGTAGCTTAAGAATGGAATCATGTATGCTTGTATCGAAATATCACATGTAACCTCAAAAATGTATAACTATTATGTATCCACAACAATTAAAAATAATACAATTGAATCTACATAACTGTATGTGGAACAATAGGAAAATAAGTGAGTAAACATAAAAAACCCTACTTAAATAGAAAGTGATGTAAAACAACAGCGATTTGTTGAAAAGATGTCAGAATGAGAAAGCAAGCAGTTAGAAAGAAGAATTTCTTTATCAATCTAACAAATCACCATATCATAGGACTCTAGGTAAAATAAAGAATAATAATTCAATGGTTAAATCATGGGCAGAGACATAATTCTTTATTTTTGTCTATTGTTACTGAAAAACGGCAGTAGTACTAAATTTTTAAAATAATAACCATTTCTAAGAAAATAGCATTTCTTTGAAACTTTTCTTTGTAGTGTCTAGAATACTGTTTGGGATGTCATTGGTGTTTAAAAATTTATAGACTGATAAAAATAACACTGAAAATATCCTTGCTTGGATATTTCACATGGAAAAACAAAGCTAGCCATAAGTAAGTGAAATGGCACTAGCAGAAAATAGACAGGTATCACTTATTTTGTGAAACAGAATGCTTCTTGAAATTCTCTGTATAAAAACAAATATGTAAGCAAATGTTTTGGCTTCTCAGTTTAATTTTGACATCCACATTCATTGTAGAGATGATTTACTTTATCTTAATTTCTTATTACTGTTGATTGCCAGACACACTTTAGTATTTACATAATGGAAAATTTCTCCACCGCCCTCTCTTAGAGTTTCTTATTAGTTAATAATTATGTCATTAAAATTTCTATTTTAAAAAATTATTAATCTGATTTCTGTAAGAGTTTCTCAGAGGTGTGTATGAAATATTTAATTACATTTCTTATCACAATTTCTGTCAATTGGTATGTGTTTAGAGTCCATTTCTAGGAAAGCATATGTTCTTAATTATCATTCTTACATATTTATATTCCTTCACTCATGTATAAAATCTTAATTTGTCACTTAATGCTTATTTTATCATTTATCGCAATTTTAATCTTTTTTCTACAATTTACAATATAATTTCCTTTCCAAACTGATATTTTTAAACTTTCTGTACTATTTTTATTTAAATTGGTTTCTCATAGAAAATGTACTGTGATATTTTTGGTTTTGTTTTGTTTTTCATCCAATATTAATCTATCATTTTCTGAGTAAGGTAAATGAAAGCACCCCACTATGTTCTGGCATTTTCTATTTCTTCTAGAATACTAGAAATGTCTGCTTTATGTATTTTAGGTTATGTAGTTTGCTCAAAAATTCATCATGAATTTGATCTTGTTTTTGTTATCACTGCCTTTTTTCCTTTTTGTCCTACGTTT
Organism: Homo sapiens; assembly: GCF_000001405.40. Taxonomy (NCBI): domain Eukaryota; kingdom Metazoa; phylum Chordata; class Mammalia; order Primates; family Hominidae; genus Homo; species Homo sapiens. Next base: position 57,031,414 of record NC_000002.12, on the reverse strand, counting down.
ATAGAATTCCTGATAATATCAAGGGACCTCAGGAAAGTCAGTCCCTTTTTCACTTGCAAAATAAAAACAAATAACCATTAACATTTTTCTGTATCTGTTAGAATCCTCTGGAGAGTATTACTTCCTTTTCATAATATTTTGAGTTATAAATAAACTAAGATTTGAAGTCCAACTGAGCATTGGTTTAAGAACAATCTAAAATGCGGCAGCATTTTGCAGTATTCGTCAATATTAAGTAGTGCATTAAATATTTGGACTATCATTCTACTTCAAGGAACCTCTCTTCAGAGACAAATACGTATGTACACCATTTGCAAATGTCATAATAATTAGGGATAACATGATATATCTTAACAGAAGACTGGATATATAAAAATTACATACTCAAAGTAAGAACAAAATAAAGCCATTAAAAATAGAGTAACAAACCTAGATACATTCACAGGAAAGATAAATCAGAAATTGTGCTAAATAAAAAGAAAAGTTTCAAAATGTAATATTTTTATAAAAAAGTAAACAGTTTTGAGTACTTTAAGTATGATAGATGCGTATAAATGAATATATACAGGTCTCAAAGAATGCATATCTTATTAATGGCATTTTATTACTGTTTCTGTGGAAAGTAAACAGAATGACATAGAATGAAGAACTTTCATACTGTATGAATTTTTGTGTTCTCTGACTTACTTAACAAAAATAATGTTTTAAATTTTATAAGTGTATAAAAAGAAGGCAAGAAAGGGGAAAAGGAAATTTTTCTTTAAGAAAAAAAAACTCTCTTAAAAGATATTTTTAGTAAAGAATGAAAGAAAAAGAGAGAAGGAAAAAAAAAATACAACGTACTCTGATGCTAGATCCAGAGAAGAAATGTAAGAAATATTTAAATTTTACACAGCTGGAAATGTACAAAGGACATGGTAACTCAGGCAGCCATAACAAAATAATATAGACTGGTGGCTTAAACAAAAGAAATTTACATTCTCTATACTGAAAGCTGTTAAGTTAAAGTCAAGCTTCCAGCAGAGTCCACTTTTTGATGAGGGCCACCCTCCTGGCTTGCACGTGGCTGTTTTGTCCTCAAGCAACCCTTCTTTTAAGTATTCTCAGACAGATAGGTCTCTGATGTCTCTTCTTATAAGGGCAACTGACCTTTCCAATTAGGATCCCACCTATATGATCTCCTTTATTACTTCCACAGAGGCCCTATCTGCAAATAAAATCACATTGAGGGTAAAAGCTTTAACATATGAGCATTAGGGGGACACAAAAAATCAGTCCATAACAAATAATGACAGATGAATTACTGCCACTACTTTAAGGTCAATCTTTGTTACTCCTAACATGTTTACCAACTGGAAACCAAAAAAATTGCCTATGGACATTTCATATAGGAATCCACAAATACTGGCTGGGCCTAGTCTTAACCTGGGCCAAGGAAGGGTTTGGATAATATTGATACCACATTAAAGATGGTCTTAATTCAATGCTTTAGTTTGCACATTGGTTCTAATTGTCAGTTGAATAAGGGAAGATACAGAGCATTGCTATATTAAGCAATAAGAAAGTCAGCTATTACAAATAGAGGTATATTCTATTTTTTTTTTTTCTTTCATAGATAGATTCTTGCTCTGTCACCCAGGCTGGGGATGGAGTGCAATGGCAGGATCATAACTCACTACAGCCTTGAACTCCTGGACTCTAATGATCCTCTAACCTCAACCTCCCAAGGAGCTGGGACTAGAGGAGCACACCAGCACACTAAGCTGATTTTTTTTTTTAATTTTTATTTTGTACTGATGGGGTCTCACTATGTTGCCCAAGCTGATCATGAACTGCTGGTCTCAAGCAATCCTCCCACATTAGCCTTCCAAATTGCTGAGATGACAGTCATGAGCCAATGAAGTTGGCCAAGAGGTATATTCTTAACACCTCTCTGATGCTGTAGTGTATGAACAGAAGATTGGCCTTGACTCATACCAAAAGTGACCGCTATTGCAGGAGAGTCAGAAGTGTAAAAAAGGCATGGGTGTTTTTTGTTTTGTGTTTTTATTTCCCCAAGATTGCAGATTGGATGCTTTCAGCATGCCTCAGCCATTTGGAAATAGAAAAATATATAAAGATCAACTCAGTGAGCTTTAATTCAAGAAGGAAATTGGGAATCAACTGGAATCATTAAGGACACACTAGATCCCAGAGAGGAGAACATCACCAAACAGTCTCCATGATGGTGACCAGCTGATGAAAAGGAGTGAAGCCCTAATATATAAGAGAAACAGAGAGCCTCCTGCTGTGAATCACCTTTTCAATGTGGACCCAAGCAACCCAGGCTGATAGAGAGAACATTGTTTCTCTCAAACCCTGAAGCTAACTAGGGGAAAGGCTTGGAGAAGTCATGTGGGAAAAACACTGGAAAAACTGCACACACTTTCCCAGAGCTGGGACTGAGAGCAGAACACCATTTTTATTCCTGCACATACAAAGCCACCTTCATTGGTGACTGAGCTGCATGGATGTGCAGGCATTTTAGCCTCAAGCCAGAGATGAGCACCTGTTCTGGACCAAGATAGGGGCCTCTACAGACAGAACTGTGGAAAGTGCTTCAACAGTTGGCACTGGAATTGTGCTCTTCTGCATCATATGCCTGGAGCAGGAGGAGAGCTACTACAGCTGCAGTTTCTCCTGGGCAGTGAGACTTGCAGCCAAAGCCAGCTTGTTGACCTGGAACTAATTTTCATGTGCCATTGTTGTGTGCCCTACCCTGCTCCTCTGAGACTGCAATGAAGTGAGTCTATCTCTGCTCCACCACCAGGCAGAAATCCAGGCATTCAGAGACCTGGTTCGGCAGCCTGAGGTGTGCTACCCTTCCTGGACATAGATCATGGTTCAGTAGGGCCTTCTCTTCTTCATACCCAGGCAGATCTCCAGGCATTCAGAACATCAGTTCACCTGGCTCAGCAGCTAGAGCTGCAATGGCCTTCCTGGACATAGATTGTGGTGCAGTAAGGTTCTCTCTACCCCACAACCAGGCAGATCTCCAGGCATTCAAAATACCTTCTCATCTGGTTCAGCAGCCTGAGCCACCCCATTTTTCCTTGACATAGATCATGATGGAGGGAGGCCCTCTTTGCTCCATGACCAGACATCTGCAGCACCCACTTTCCTGGATTAGGAGTTTAGTCTAACTCCCATCTCTGTGCAAAGAATTTGGGGTCAAGGAGGTTTTCCATCCCCATGCCTGAGCACACCTCTACAAGGATTATGGCTGCCCACTGGATTCTCCCTTGGTGCTGGGTTTTATACCTGCCATCAGGGGACCTGTAGGTAGAACTTGTCATTCCAGCCCTACCCTTTGTGGCTGCCACCCCTCAAGGACCGAGGAAAAAGCTCAGACCACTGTGTATTTCACAAATCAGCCCATTGCCTGAGGCAACAGGGAGCTTCTACCAGTAATCAAGGATCAAGTATATACACAACCATGTTGGCTGCAGCCAGCTCCTTTCTATAAGGGCCATTTATGGGCTTGTAGGTCAAACTGCACATCCCAATACAAAACCTACCAAAAGAAGTTTATGAGGCTATAGAAACAAAGCCAAAAACTCAACACAGCATTATCTACAGTCACACTCCCTAGAGAGGGGAAAAAATTGAAAGGCAGAGAAAAATAATACTAATGATAATATTGGGAATAAAGAAAAAAATCCTATCCACTCAAAAATATTTTAAAAAACAAGAAGTGCTGTTGTCTCCAGATGAGAAGGAACCAGCACAGGGACTACGGCACTATGAAAAATCTGAATGTAATGACACAACCATAAGATCACACTAGCTCTCCAGGAATGGTTCCTAACAAAAATGAAAACTCAGAAATTACAGATAAAGTATTGAAAGCATGGATTGAAAAGAAGTTCAATGAGACTTAAGACAAGATTGAGAATAAAAACAAATAAACTTCTGAAGAATCCAGGAAATTAAAGAAGGATTAACATCTGAAAAAGAAATCAATCAGGACTACTGGCATTGAAAAATCTTGCTTAAGGAATTTAAAAATACAATTGAAAGTTTTATCAATAGACTGGATCAAGTAGAAGAAAAAATTTCAGAGCTTAAAGACAGGTCTTTCAAACTAAGCCAGTACAACAAAAATAAAGAAAATAAGAAATTTTAAAAATGAATAAAGTATTTGAGAAGTATGGAATTATGTAAAGCAACCAAATCTATGATTTATTGGCATTGCTGAGAAAGAAGGAGAAAAAATTATCAATCTGGGAAATATATTTGAAGAAACAATTCAAGAAAATTTCCCAAATCTTGCTAGAAAGGTAGACATCTAGATATAAAAAAATCCAGAAAACATATGCAACATACTCTGCAAAGTGAACATCACTGATATGGTTTGGCTGTGCCTCACCCAAATCTTATCTTGAATTATAGCTTCCACAATTCCCACGTCATGGGAGGGACCCAGTAGAAGGTAATTGAATCATGAGGGTGGGTCTTTCCCATGCTGTTCTTGTGATAGTGAATAAGTCTCATGAGATCTGATGGTTTTATAAGGGGGAGTTTCCCTGCACAAGTTCTCTCTTCCTTGCTGCCATGTAAGACTTGCGTTTTGCTTTTTGCCATAATTGTGAGGCCTCTCCAGCTATGTGGAACTGTGAGTTAAATAACCCTTTTTTCTTTATAAATTACCCAGTCTCAGGTATGTTCTTACTAGCAGCGTGAAAATGGACTAATATAGTAAATTGGTACTGGTAGAGTGGGGAGCTGCTGTAAAGATACCTGAAAACATGGAGGCAACTTTGGAACTGGGTAACAGGCAGAGGCTGGAACAGTTTGGAGGGCTCAGAAGAAGACATAAAAATGTGGGAAAGTTTGGAACTTCCTTTGAATGGCTTTGAACAAAATGCTCATAGTGATATGGACAATGAAGTCCAGGATGAGGTGGTCTCAGATGGAGAGGAGGAACTTGTTGGGAGCTGGAGTAAAGGTGAATCTTGCTATGTTTTAGCAAACAGACTTGCAGCATTTTGCCTCTGCACTAGAGATTTTTGGAACTTTGAACTTGAGGGAGATGATTTAGGGTATCTGGCAAAAGAAATTTCTAAGTAGGAAAGCGTTAAAGAGGTGACTTGGGCGTTGTTGAAAGCATTGAGTTTTAAAAGGGAAACAGCATAAGAGTTCAGAAAATTTGCAACCTGACAACGCAATAGAAAAGAAAAACCCATTTTCTAAGAAGAATTTCAAGCCAGCTGAAGAAATTTGTCTAAGTAATGAGAAGCCAAATGTTAATCACCAAGACAATGGAGAAAATGTTTTCAGGGCATGTCAGAGACACTTGCTGCAGTCCCTCCCATCACAGGCCCAGAGACCTAGGAGAAAAAAATGTTTTCATGGGCTGGGCCCAGGGCCACTCTGCTATGTGCAGTCTAAGGATTTAGTGTCCTGCATCCCAGATGCTCTAGCCATGGCTAAAAGGGGCCAAGGTGCAGCTCAGGCCATGGCTTCAGAGAGTGTAAGCCCAAATCCTTGTCAGATTCCACATGGTTTTGAGCCTGTGGGTGCACAGAAGTCAAGAATTGAGGTTTGGGAACCTCTGCCTACATTTCAGAGGACATATGGAAATGTCGGGATGTCCAGGCAGACATTTGCTGCAGGGGAAGGGTTCTCATGAAGAACCTCTGCTAGAGCAGTGCAGACGGCAAATATAGGGTTGCAGCCCCCACACAGAGTCCCCACTGGGGCACTGCCTAGTGGAGCTATGAGAAGAGGGCCAGCATCCTTCAGACCGCAGAATGGTAGATCCACCGACAGCTTGCACAACACACCTGGAAAAGCTGCTGACACTCAATGCCAGTCCATGAAAGCAGCCAGGAGGGGGACTACATCCTGCAAAGCCACAGGGGCAGAGCTGCCCAAGACCATGGGAACCTACCTCCTGCATCAGTATGACCTAAATATGAGACATGAAGTCAAAGGAGATCACTTTGGTAAGATTTGACTGACCCACCAGATTTCAGACTTGCCTGGGGCCTGTAACCCCTTTATTCTGGCCAACTTCTCCTCTCTGGAATGGCTGTATTTACCCAGTGCCTGTACCCCCATTGTATCTAGGAAGTAACTAATTTGCTTTTGATTTTATAGGCTCGTAGGCAGAAGGGACTTGCCTTGTCTCAGATGAAACATTGGAATGTAGACTTTTGAGTTAATGCTGAAATGAGTTAAGACTTTGGGAGACTGTTTGGAAGTCATGATTAGTTTTGAAATGTGAGAACATGAGATTTAGGAGGGGCAAGGGCAGAATGATATGGTTTGGTTGTGTCCCCACCCAAATCCTATCATTAATTTAGCTCCCACAGTTCCCACATGTCATGGGAGGGACCCAGTGGGAGGTAATTGAATCATGGAGGTGGGTCTTTCCTGTGCTGTTATTTTGATAGTGAATAAGTCTTATGAGATCTGATGGTTTTATAAGGGGGAGTTTCCCTGCACAAGTTCTCTCTTCCCTGCCACCATGTAAGATGTGTCTTTTGCCTTCCGCCATGATTGTGAGGACTCACCGGCTCCATGAAACTGAGTCCATTAAAACTTTTTTTCTTTATAAATAACCCAGTCTCTGATATGTTTTTCTCAGCAGCATGAAAACAGACTAATACAATCACCAAACCACACAGTCACCTGAATGTTCAAAGTCAATGCTGGAGAAAAAAATCTTAAAGGCAGCTAGACAAACAGGGTAGACCATATACAAGGGGAAACCCATCAGACTGACAGTAGACTTCTCAGCAGAAACCTTAAAAGCTAAGAGAAATTAGGAACCTACCTCCAGCATTCTTAAAAGAAATTCAAACCAATAATTTTATATCCCTCCAAAGTAAGCTTTACAAATGAAGAAGAAATAAAACTTTTCCCAGACAAGCAGGCACTAAGGGAATTCATACCACTAGTCCAGTCTTACAAGAGATTATTAAGAAAGTTCTAAACATGGAAACAAAATAACAAGGTCTGCTATTAACAAAACACACATATGTACATACTCCACAGACCCTACGAAACAATCACACAATAAAAACTACAAAGCAAACAGCTAACAATTTTACAATAGGATCAAAACCTCACACACCAATATTAACACTGAATGTATATGGTGTAAACACTCTACTTAAAAGATACACAGTGGCAAGATGGGTTTTTAAAAAGGACTTATTTTTCTGCTGTTTTCAAGAGACTCATCTCATATGTAATGGCACCCATAGGCTCAACAAAATGTGTTGGAGAAAGATCTACCACACAAATGGAAAACAAAAAAGAGCAGGGTCACAATTCTTATGTCAGAGAAAACAAACTTCAAAGTAACAGTAAGAAAGGACAAAAAATGGCATTGCATAATGATACAGGGCTCAGCTCAAGACTTAATTACGCCAAATGCATTAGCACCCAACTTTGGATCACCCTTCACAAAACAAGTACTTTTAGACCTACTAAAAGACTTAGACAGCCACACAATAATAAGCGGGGGATTTCAACAGCTCACTAACAGCATTAGACAGATGATTGGGGTAGAACACTAACACAGAAATTCTGAACTTAAACTTGATATTTGAGCAATTGGACCTAATAGACATCTACAGAATACTTGACCCATCAACTGCAGAATATGCATTCTTATCATCTGAACATGGAGCTCAATCCTCATCCATAAAATAAGTCTAAAAAAATTCAAAACAATCAAAATCACACAAACCATACTCTCAGAACACAGTGGAATAAGAATAGAAATTAATACCAAGAAGACTTCCAAAAGCCACACAGTTAAATAGAAGTTAACTTGCTCCTGAATGACTTTGAGTACGCAGTGAAATACAGGAAGAATTTTTAAGTCTTTGAAACAAATGAAAACAGAGGCATGACAAACCAAAATCTCTGGGATGCAGCAAAAGTAGTTTTAAGAGGAAAGTTTATAGCACTAAACACCTATCTCAAAGAAGTTACAAAGATCTCTAATTAACAATATAATTGTCCACCTAGAAGAATTAGAAAAACAAGAGGAAATTAACCCCAAAACTAGTGAAGAAAAGAAATAACTATCATGAGAGCAAAACTGAATAAAATGGGGAAACAAAATCCATATAAAGAACTGATGAACCCAAAAGTTGGTTCTTTTTTGTTGTTTGTCTGTTTGAGATGGAGTCTCACTCTGTCACCAGGCTGGAGTGCAGTGATGCAATCTCGGCTCACTGCAACCTCCACCTCCTGGATTCAAGCAATTCTCCTGCCTCAGGCTCCTGAGTAGCTGGTACACAGGCACACGCCACCACACCCAGCTAATTTTTGTATTTTTAGTAGAGACAGGGTTTCACCATGTTGGTCAGGATGGTCTCTTTCTCTTGACCTCATGATCTGCCTGCCTTGGCCTCCAAAAGTGCTTGGATCACACACGTGAGACACTGCGCCCGGCCAAAGTTGGTTCTTTGAAAGGATAAACTATGAGGTGTCAGTCGGCCCAATTGGGAGGTGTCTCCCAGTTAGGCTACACGGGGGTCAGCGACCCACTTGAGGAAGCAGTCTGCCCATTCTCCGAGCTCAAACACCATGCTGGGAGAACAACTGCTCTCTTCAGAGCTGTCAGACAGGGATGCTTAAGTCTGCAGAAGTTTCTTCTGCCTTTTGTTCAGCTATGCCTGCCCCCAGAGGTGGAGTCTACAGAGGAAATAGGCCTTGCTGAGCTGCAGTGGGTTCCTCCCCATTGGAGCTTCCTCAGCTGCTTTGTTTACATACTCAAGCCTCAGCTGTAGCCGGACAAGCCCCAGACAAAACTCCTCAGACACCAGATTAAAGAAGGAAGAGGTTTTTATTCGGCTGGAAGAGTTGGCAGAGTCTCATCTTAAGAGCTGAGCTCTCCGAAAAAGAAATTCCTAGCCCTTTTAAGGGCTTACAACTCTAAGGGATCCACGTGAAAGGGTCATAATAGATCAAGCAAGCATGAGGAACGTGACTGGGGGCTACATGCATCACCTAACAGAACAAAAAGTTTTACAGTGCTTTCTCATACAATGTCTGGAATTTACAGATAACACAAGTAATTTTGATCAGGGGTTAATATTATTATTATTATTTTAACCACCAGGGCCAGATGGTGGCGCCAAGGTCATCTAGCTATTTATCTTACTTCTGTTTCTTTCCAACTTTTTGCTTTCTCCCTTTTCTCCTGTCTTATAAACTAGGGAAAAGAGGAGGTAGGGGAGAAGCTGGGAAGGACAACAGGAGAAGTGGTGGTCTCATTCCATAAGCAATGGCAGACACCCCTCCCCCTGCCAGGCTGCTGCCTCACAGGTCAATCTCAGACTGCTGCTTTAGCAGTGAGCAAGGCTCCGTGGGCATGGGACCCGCGGGATGTAATCTCCTGGTGTGCCATTTGCTAAGACCATTGGAAAAGCGCAGTATTTGTGTGGCAGTGTCCCGTTTTTCCAGGTACCGTCTGTCACGGCTTCCCTTGCCTAGGAGAGGGAAATCCTCTGACTGCTTGCACTTCCCGGGTGGGGCGATGCCCCGCCCTTCTTTGGCTCACCCTCTGTGGGCTGCATCCACTGTCCAACTAGTCCAAGGATGTAGAACTAGAAATAACATTTGACCCAGTGATCCCATTACTGCGTATATACCCAAAGGATTATAAATCATGCTACTATAAAGACACATGCACACATATGTTTATTGTGGCACTATTCACAATAGCAAAGACTTGGAACCAACCCAAATGTCCATCAATGACAGACTGGATTAAGAAAATGTGGTACATATAAACCATGGAATACTATGCAGCCATAAAAAGCATTAGTTCATGTCCTTTGCAGGGACATGCAGCTGGAAACCATCATTCTGAGCAAACTATCACAAGGACAGAAAACCAGACACGGCATGTTTTCATTCATAGGTGGGAATTGAACAATGAGAGCACTTGGACATAAGGCGGGGAACATCACATCCTGGGGCCTGTCATGGGGTGGGGGGCAGGGGGAGGGATAGCATTAGGAGAAATACCTAATGTAAATGATGAGTTAATGGGTGTGGCAAATCAACATGGCATATGTATACCTACTTAACAAACCTGCATGTTGTGCACATGTACCCTAAAACTTAAAGTATAATTTAAAAAAATAAAAAAGAAAGGATAAACTAAATCAGTAGACCACTAGCTAGACTAAACAAGGAAAAAAAAAGATCCAAATAAGCACAATCAGAAATGATAAAGGCAATATTACAATCAATCTCACAGTAAAACCAAAGTTCCTCAGAGACTATTATGAACACTTCTAGGCACACAAACTAGAAAACCAAGAGGAAATGGATAAATTTCTGGAAACACACAACCTTCCCAGATTGAATCAGGAAAAAAAATAAAACACTAAACAGATCAAAACAGAGTTCTGAAATTGAATTTGTAAATTGACAACCTAATAAATGGGACAAAATATTGACAACCGTGCATCTACTATGGGCTCATATCCAGAATCTATAAGGAACTTAAACAATTTGACAAACAGAAAACAACCCCATTACAAAATGGGAAAATGACATGAATATACACTTCTTAAAAGAAGACATACAAGTGGCCAAGAAACATATGGAAAAATGTTCACTGTCACTAATCATCAGTGAAATCCAAGTCAAAATCACAGTGAGATAATCTTTCACACCAGTCAGAATAGCTATTACTAAAAAGTAAAAAAAACAACAGATGTTGGTGAGGCTGCAAGGAAGAGGGAATGCTTATACCCTGTTGTTGGAATTGTAAATTAGTTCAGTCACCGTGGAAAGAAGTTTGTAGATTTCTCAAAGAATTTAGAGATTTATCATTGGACCCAGAAATTCCATTACTGTGTATTTGTGTGTGTATGTGTGTGTGTATATGTGTGTGTGTATCTTCTTGTGAATAACTGTAGAATAATTTATCTTCTTGTGAAGATAAATTATATCTTCAATACACATGCACGTGTGTGTGTATATAGATAGATAGATAGACAGACAGATAGACAGATAATGCTGCATGTCCATTTCAGCATTATTCACAACAGCAAAGACATGGAATCAACCTAGGTGCCTAGGTGCCCATCAATGGTGGATTGTATAGAGCAAATGTTGTACACGTACACCATGCAATACTATGCCTCTATAAAAATAAACAAAATCATGCCATTTGCAGCAACATAGATGCAGCTGAAGGCCATTGTCATAAGTGAATTAACTCATGAACAGAAACTAAATACCAGAATCTCACTTATAAGTGAGAGCTGAACTTTGAGTATGCATAAACATAAAGATGGCAATAGACCTTGGGGACTACTAGAGGAGGGGTATAGGGGAGTAAGTGTTAAAAAGTTAACCTTTGGGTGCTCTGATTGGCACCTGTGTGATGGGATCATTAATAGTGCCAACTTCAGCATCACACAATATATCCAGGTAACAAAACTGCACATATATACCCTGAATCTAAAATAGAAGTTGAAGAAAGAATATATTTTTAAAAACAAAGCATGAAAGCTGGGTCTAATTTGGTTATTCACCAGTTCATTTGTTTTGTATAAAAAACACCACTATCCTCATTTTTGTTCTGAAAACAGCAATTGAGGATTGACAGTGATGTGCTGTTGACAGACACTGCACTTGCCCTTAAAAGCTCCATCTGATCCATGGCAGAAAAGGTTACCTTTTAGTACAATTCATCTTGGCTTTATGTCAATGAATGCCACACACCACCATCTACCAGAAACTCTCCCTCCAAAGTCCCAGTGTTGAAAATTACCTGTAGTGTGTCACTGAAGGTAATTTTTAAATAAATAAATAAAATTTTTATTATTTTTTAAAGGGAAGTAGAGTATTGATTCAAAATTAAGATGTTAGTGAATACTATTTTCAAAAGCACTTTGAAAATATTTTGAGTGGGACAATTTGACTTCCTCTTTTCCTAACTGAATACCCTTTATTTCCTTCTCCTGCCTAATTGTCCTGGCTAGAACTTCCAACATTATGTTGAATACGAGTGGTGAGAGAAGGCATCCCTGTCTTGTGCCAGTTTTCAAAGGGAATGCTTCCAGTTTTTGCCCATACAGTATGATATTGGCTGTGGGTTTGTCATAGATAGCTCTTATTATTTTGAGATACGTCCCATCAATACCTAATTTATTGAGAGTTTTTAGCATGAAGCGCTGTTGAATTTTGTCAAAGGCCTTTTCTGCATCTATTGAGATAATCATGTGGTTTTTGTACTTTGGTTCTGTTTATATGCTGGATTACATTTAATGATTTGTGTATGTTGAACCAGCCTTGCGTCCCAGGGATGAAGCCCACTTGATCATGGTGGATAAGCTTTTTGATGTGCTGCTGGATTCGGTTTGCCAGTATTTTAATGAGGATTTTTGCATCAATGTTCACCAAGGATATTGGTCTAAAATTCTCTTTTTTTGTTGTGTCTCTGCCCGGCTTTGGTATCAGGATGATGCTGGCCTCATAAAATGAGTTAGGGAAGGTTCCCACTTTTTCTATTGATTGGAATAGTTTCAGAAGGAATGGTACCAGTTCCTCCTTGTACCTCTGGTAGAATTCGGCTGTGAATCCATCTGGTCCTGGACTCTTTTTGGTTGGTAAGCTATTGATTATTGCCACAATTTCAGAGCCTGTTATTGGTCTATTCAGAGATTCAACTTCTTCCTGGTTTAGTTTTGGGAGGGTGTATGTGTCGAGGAATTTATCCATTTCTTCTAGATTTTCTAGTTTATTTGCATAGAGGTGTTTGTAGTATTCTCTGATAGTAGTTTGTATTTCTGTGGGATCAGTGGTGATATCCCCTTTATCATTTTTTATTCCGTCTATTTGATTCTTCTCTCTTTTCTTCTTTATTAGTCTTGCTAGCGGTCTATCAATTTTGTTGATCTTTTCAAAAAACCAGCTCCTGGATTCATTAATTGTCCCTGTTTGCAGATGACATGATTGTATATCTAGAAAACCCCATTGTCTCAGCCCAAAATCTCCTCAAGCTGATAAGCAACTTCAGCAAAGTCTCAGAATACAAAATCAGTGTATAAAAATCACAAGCATTCTTATACACCAATAACAGACAAACAGAGAGCCACATCATGAGTGAACTCCCATTCACAATTGCTTCAAAGAGAATAAAATACCTAGGAATCCAACTTACAAGGGATGTGAAGGACCTCTTCAAGGAAAACTACAAACCACTGCTCAAGGAAATAAAAGAGGATACAAACAAAAGGAAGAACATTCCATGCTCATGGGTAGGAAGAATCAATATCGTGAAAATGGCCATACTGCCCAAGGTAATTTATAGATTCAATGCCATCCCCATCAAGCTACCAATGACTTTCTTCACAGAATTGGAAAAAACTACTTTAAACTTCATATGGAACCAAAAAAGAGCCCGCATTGCCAAGTCAATCCTAAGCCAAAAGAACAAAGCTGGAGGCATCACACTACCTGACTTCAAACTATACTACAAGGCTACAGTAACCAAAACAGCATGGTACTCGTACCAAAACAGAGATATAGATCAATGGAACAGAACAGAGCCCTCAGAAATAATGCCGCATATCTACAACTATCTGATCTTTGACAAACCTGAGAAAAACAAGAAATGGGGAAAGGATTCCCTATTTAATAAATGGTGGTGGGAAAACTGGCTAGCCATATGTAGAAAGCTGAAACTGGATCCCTTCCTTATACCTTATACAAAAATTAATTCAAGATGGATTAAAAACTTAAACGTTAGACTTAAAACCATAAAAACTCTAGAAGAAAACCTAGGCATTACCATTCAGGAGATAGACATGGGCAAGGACTTCATGTCTAAAACACCAAAAGCAATGGCAGCAAAAGCCAAAATTGACAAATGGGATCTCATTAAACTAAAGAGCTTCTGCACAGCAAAAGAAACTACCATCAGAGTGAACAGGCAACATACAAATGGGAGAAAATTTTCACAACCTACTCATCTGACAAAGGGCTAATATCCAGAATCTACAATAAACTCAAACAAATTTACAAGAAAAAAACAAACAACCCCATCAAAAAGTGGGCGAAGGACATGAACAGACACTTCTCAAAAGGAGACATTTATGCAGCCAAAAAACACATGAAAAAATGCTCACCATCACTGGCCATCAGAGAAATGCAAATCAAAACCACAATGAGATACCATCTCACACCAGTTAGAATGGCAATCATTAAAAGTCAGGAAACAACAGGTGCTGGAGAGGATGTGGAGAAATAGGAACACTTTTACACTGTTGGTGGGACTGTAAAGTAGTTCAGCCATTGTGGAAGTCAGTGTGGCCATTCCTCAGGGATCTAGAACTAGAAATACCATTTGACCCAGCCATCCCATTACTGGGTATATACCCAAAGGACTATAAATCATGCTGCTATAAAGGCACATGCACACGTATGTTTATTGCAGCAGTATTCACGATAGCAAAGACTTGGAACCAACCCAAATGTCCAACAATGGTAGACTGGATTAAGAAAATGTGGCACATATACACCATGGAATACTATGCAGCCATAAAAAATGATGAGTTCATGTCCTTTGTAGGGACATGGATGAAATTGGAAATCATCATTCTTAGTAAACTATCGCAAGGACAAAAAACCAAACACCGCATGTTCTCACTCATAGGTGGGAATTGAACAATGTGAACACATGGACACAGGAAGGGGAACATCACACTCTAGGGACTGTTTTGGGGTGGGGGGAGGGGGGAGGGATAGCATTAGGTGATATACCTAATGCTAAATGACGAGTTAATGGGTGCAGCACACCAGCATGGCACATGTATACATATGTAACTAACCTGCACATTGTGCACATGTACCCTAAAACTTAAAGTATAATAATAATAAAATTAAAAAAAAGAAAATATTTTGAGTGGTCTCTGCATATATGCCTTGTGCTTCATCTTTACTAGCTAAAATACTTCTGATTTTGTGTAGACTATATGATAATTTCCTGAGAGTATGTTTTGACTTGAAAAGATACATACTATCATAGCTAAAATTTAATTTAAAATTTCATAATTATTTAGAATTTAAATAATGTGGTAAATAACCGTACATTTTAAAACATAATTGAATGCAGGCATTATGAATTACGGTTGAAGCCATACATTAAGGAATCTGAGAGAAAATTATGAAAGGACAGGTGCAGAGGGACAATGTTGACAGAGTAAATCAATTAAGAAAATGTATATTTTTGTGATTCATAAGTATAATGATGGAGTTTTCAAATTCACGTGTGTGATGTGCCCCCCTCAAACCTCTTTATGATGTCAGCATATTGCTCATCTGACATAAAAAAATTACAAAAAAAATAGAAAATAAATAATATAGAGGAATACATCACTTTAGCTGTTTTATATGTAGCCATAGTCACAAGTTAGTCAAATCAACAAAAAATCTATTAAGATAGTGCACAGTAATAATTGTTATATCTATTTTTATGAATACCTTATTTTTAGAGCAGTTTCAGGTTCACATCAATATTGAAAGAACAGTCCAGAGATTTTTCATATACCCCCTTTCCCCAAATATGTGAATCCTCCCCCATTATTGACATCTCCCATCAGATTGATACATGTGTTACATTTGAAGTACCAACATTGAAACATCATAATAACCCCAAGTCCATAGTTTACATTAGAGTTCACTCTTGGTGTTACACATTCTATGAATTTGGATAAGTGAATAATGACATGCATCCACCATCAGAGTATCATATAGAGTAGTTTCACTGCCCTAAAAGTCCTGTGTTCTTTGCCTATTCATCCTCCTCCTCCCAATCCTAATCTTCACTGTCTCCATAGTTTTATCTTTTACAAAATTTTATATAGTTGAAATAGTAACATATGCAGCCTTTTCAAAAAGGCTTGTTTCACTTATTAATAAGCATTTAAATTTTCTCCATTTATTTCCATGGCTTAATAACTCATTCTTTTTTTTTTTTTTTTTTTTTTTGAGACAGAGTCTTGCTTTGTCACCCAGGCTGGAATGCAGTGGCACAATCTCAGCTCACTGCAACCTCTGCCTCCTGAGTTCAAGCCATTCTCCTGTCTCAGCCTCCTAAGCAGCTGGGATTACAGACACACACCACCTCACTCAGCTAATTTTTGTATTTTTAGTAGATACAAGGTTTCACCATGTTGGCCAGGCTGGTCTTGAACTTCTGACCTCGTGATCCACCCTCCGTGGCCTCTCCAAGTGCTAGGATTACAGGTGTGATCCACCGTGCCCGGCCTAATAACTCATTCTTTTAAGCACAGAGTAATATCCCATTCTCTGGATGTACCACAGTTCATTTATTCATTTACCTACTGAAGGAAATCTTGGTTGCTTCCAAGTCTTGACAATTATGAATAAAGCTGCTATAAACATCTGAGTGCAGGTTTTTGCACTGATGTAAGTTTTAAATCATTTGCGTAAGTATTAAGAAGCATGACTACTGGATCATTTGGTAAGAGTATGTTTATTCTGGAAAGAAACTGCCAAACTGCCTTCCAAAGTGACTGTGCAATTTTGCAGTCCCAACCGAAATTAATGAAAGTTTCTCTTGTTCCACATCCTCACCAGCTTTAGGTATTGACAGTGCTCTGGATTTTGCCCATTCTAGTAGGTATGTAGTGGGATCTTGTATTAGTTCATTCTCACATTGCTATGAAGAAATAGCTGAAACTGGGTAATTTTCAAATAAAAGAGGTTTAATTGGCTCATGGTTCTGCAGGCTGTACAGGAAGCATAGTGGCTTCTGGGAAGGCCTCAGGAACTTTCATTCATGGCAGAAAGATAAAGGGGAAGCAGGCATGTCTTACAAGACT
Source organism: Homo sapiens (assembly GCF_000001405.40). Classification (NCBI taxonomy): domain Eukaryota; kingdom Metazoa; phylum Chordata; class Mammalia; order Primates; family Hominidae; genus Homo; species Homo sapiens. The sequence goes on along the minus strand of NC_000002.12, from coordinate 57,014,540 downwards.
GAAGCAGGAGGAAGAGAGAGGGGAGTGCCACAAACTTTTAAACAATCAGATCTCATGAGAACTCTACCATGAGAACAGTAGCAGAGGGGTGGTACTAAACCATTAGAAACCATCTCCATGACCCAATCACCTCTTACCAGGCCCCAACTCAAACACTGAAGATTATAATTGAACATAAGATTTGGGTGGGGACACATATCCAAAACATATCATGTCCCCATCCCCTGGCCGCTTTAAATCTCATATCCTTCTCACATTGCAAATTACAATCATGTTGTCCCAATAGTCCCTCAAAGTCTTAACTCATTCCAGCATTAACTCAAAAGTCCAAAGTTGAAATTCTCATCTGACTTTGAAATTTGATGAGACTTTGACTCTCATGAAAACAAGTTAGTTATTTCCTAGATACAATGGAGGTAATAAGCATTGCATAAATATTCCTGTTGCAAAAGGGAGAAATTGGCCAAAAGAAAGGGGCTATAGGCCCCACCACAAATCTGAAACCCAGCAGGGCAGTCGTTAAATCTTAAAGCTCCACAGTAACCTCTTTTAACTTCATGCCTCATATCCAGGGAACATTGATGCAAGAGGTAGCCTCCCAAGGCTTTGGACAGCTCTGCCCCTGAGGATTTGCAAGGCACAAGGCCTGCATCTGCTTTCACAGGCTAGTGTGGAGCACCTCTGACTTTTCCAGGTGTGGATAGCAAGCTGTTGATGGATCTACAATTCTGGGGTCTGTAAGATAGTGACCCTTTTCTCACAGCTCCACTAGGCAGTGCTCCAGTGGGGACCCTGTGTGGAGGCTCCAACCCCACATTTTCCCTTCATACTTCTTGAGTAGAGGTCCTTCATGAGGGCTTCACCCCTGTAATAGGCTTCTGCCTGGACATTCAGGTTTTTCCTTACATACTCTGAAATCTAGGTGGAGGCTCCCAAGCCTCAACTCTTGCACTCTGTACACTCACAGGCTTAACACCACAAGGAAGCAGCCAAGGCTTATGACTTGCACCCTCAGAAGTGGAGGCACGAGCTGTTTCTGGGGCCATTTTAGCCATGGCTGGAGATAGAGCATCTAGGACTAAGATGCAGGGATCAGTGTCCCCAGGTTGTGCAGGGTGGTGGGGCCCTGGACCTGGCCCACAAAACCATTCTTTCCTTCTAGGCCTCTGGGCTTGTGATGGGAGTGGCTGCAGCAGAGGTCTCTAAAATGCTTTTGAGGCTTTTTTCTGGTTTTGACTATCAGAATTTGCCTTCCTTTTAGTTGTGCAAATTTGTGCAGCCCACTTGAAGTCCTCCCCCAAAAAAGGGCTTTTCTTTTATACCACAAAACTAGGCTGCAAATTTTCTAAACATTTGTGCTCTGCTTTCCTTTTAAATATAAATTCCAATTTCAAGTTATTTCTTTTTCATGCCTATGAGCATAGGCTTTCAAAAGCACACAGGTGAACTCCTGAACACTTTGCCACTCAGAAATTTCTTCCACCAGATTCTCTAAATCATTACTTACAAGTTCAATGTTCCACATATTCCTACAGCAGGGACACAATGCAGTCAGTCTCTTTGCTAACACATAACAAAAGTGACCTTTACTCTGGCTTCCAATAAGGTCCTTATTTCCCCATATGAGACCTAATCAGCCTGTACTTTATTGTCCATATCACAATCAGCATTTTAGTGACAACTATTTAAGCAGTCTAGGGGGTTCCAAAGTTTTCTCATCCTCCTGTTTTACTCTGAGTGTTCCATACTCTTTTAATCTCTGCCCATTAAATGTTCCTAAGTTGCTTTTGCATTTTCAAGTATCTTTCTAGCAATGTCCCACTCTTTGGTACCAATTTTCTGTATTAGTCCATTCTTGCATTGCTACAAAGAAATACCTGAGACTGAGTAATTTATAAAAAATAAAAGGTTTAATTGGCTTGCAGTTCTGCAGGCTATGCAGGAAGCATAGCAGCTTCTGGGGGTCATCAGTAAACTCTGAAGCATGGTGGAAGACAAAGGGGAAGCACCCATGTCTTACATGACTGGAGCAGGAGGAAGAGTTGGGAGGGGCTGCCACACAAATAATCATATCTCATGAGAATTGTATTATGAGAACAGCACTAGGATAATGATACTAGACTATTAAAAGCCACCCCTATGATCCCATCACCTTCCACCAGGCCCCACTTCCAACACTGAACATGAAATTTGGTTGGAGACACAGATCGAAACCATATTATGTCTCATTGTTTTAATTTACATTTTGCTGATGACATAGGTTCACTTTTCATATGCCTATATGTCATCTGTCTGTTTTCTTAATGAAGTGTATGTTAAGGTTTTAGGTCGAATTTTCATTAGGATTTTTGTTTTCATATTGTTGAGGTGTTACTAGTTTTGGTACTTTTTGGATAACAGTTTTTTATCAGATGTGTCCTTTGGAAATATTTTCTCCCATTCTGTGGCTTGTCTTTTTATTCTCTTAGCATTGTTTACCATAGAGCATGAGTTTGCTTTTAAATTCTTAATAAAGTTCAGGTTATCTATTATTTCTTTGATAGATCATGCCCTTGGTGTTGTATCTAAAATGTCATCACTATATCCAAGGTTATCTAGATTTTCTCCAATAATTTTCTTAGAGTGGTACAACTTGTTTTACGCTTAGGCCTAAGATCCATTTTGAATTAAGTTTTGTGGAAGATATAAGGTCTGTGTCTAGATTTTTTTTTTTGGCTTGTGGATTTCCAATTGTTTTAGAACCATGTCTTGAAAAGGTTATCTTTGTTTCATTGTATTAACTTTGTTCCTTTGTCAACTATCAGTGACTGTATTTATGTAGGTTTTTCTCTGGGCTCTCTATTCTCCTCCATTTTTTTTTCCCATTCTTCACCAATATCACACTATCTCAACTACTGTAGCTTTATCATAAGTGTTGAAATTTGGTAGTCTTACTCTTTCAACTTTGTTCTTCAATAATGCGTTCACTATTCCAGGTCTTTGGTTTCTCCATATAACCTGTAAAATCAATTTGTTGATATCTACAAAATAACTTCCTGGTATTTTGAGTGGCATTGCATTGAATCTACAGATCAAGTTGTGAAGAATTGACAACTTATCAATATTGAGTCTTCCTATTCATGAATATGAAATACTTCTCCATTTATTTAGTTTTTAAATTTATTTCATCAGAGTTTTATAGTTTTTTATATATAATTTGTACATATTTTGCTAGATTTATACCTAATTATTTCATTTTTGTGGTGCTAATATAAATGATGTATATTTTTAATTTCAATTCCTATTTGTTCATCTGGTTGTGGTGGTCAATTATATGTCAATATTACTAGGTCAAAGGATGTTCAGATAGCTGCTAAAACAGGTGTTTCTGTAATGGTGTTTTCAGAATAAATTAGCACTTGAGTCAGTAACTACATTATGAAGATCCACCCTCACCAATGTGGGCAGGTATCACACGATCTGTTGAAGGCCTGGATATAACAAAAACTGAGAGGAAGAGTGAAATCTCTTTCTCATTCTCTTTGAGCTGAGACATTCATCTTCTCCTGTCCTTGGGCAATAACACTCTTCATTCTCAGACCTTTCAACTCCAGGGCTTACACCAGTGCCCCTCTGGTTCTCAGGCCTTTGGTCTTGGACTGGGAACTACACCACTGGGCTCCCCTGGTTCTCAGTCCCTTTGGTTCAGAAAGAATTACAACCCTGGCTTTCCTGGCTAGCCAGTTTACCAATGGTATATTGTAGGATTTCTCAGTCTTCATAATCATGCAAGCTAATTCCCATTATAAGTCTCCTCTTCACCTCTTCATGTATATTTATATCTATCTATCTCTCTCTGTATGTGTGTGTGTGCATGTGTGTGTGTGTGTGTGTGTGTATGTGTATCTTCTGTTGCATCTGTTTCTCTGGAGGACCCTATTACAATGATATAAAGTGATTAAATTGTGTATATTAACTTTGTATTCTTCAACCTTGCTATAATCACTTATCAGTTCCAAGAGTCTTTTTGCTGCTGTTCATGCTTTTGGATTTCCTACATATATAATCATGGAAGTATGAGCAGAGTTTTATTTATTCTTTCCATATATATATATGTGTATATATATATATATATATACACATATATATATATACACATATATATGTAAATATATATATACATATATATGTAAATATATATATGTGTATATATATATATACACACACACATAAATAATATATATATAAGATATATATATATATCTTTTATTTCCCTTTCTTGTCTTACTACAGTAGATAGGAATATAACTTATTTTTTATTCTCATATTATTAACATCAAATACCTAAATTGACTGAGACACAATATTCCAGGACAGAAAAGTCTAGTTATTGTGACATATGCATAAACATAAGCAAAATCAATGCAAATTATTTAGAGTCCATATTTGAGGATTCTATATTTGCAAATTCACCTTTGTTAAATTTATTGGTAATTCCCAAATCAACATTCCTGACAAACTTTTGCAGCTATTTGGGAACTTGCACAGGGCCGTGAAAAATTTGAGTTACCTAATGATCACCTTCCCAGCTGAAGTCCAAGAAGGCAATATTCATCAACTTTCATACAAACATGGTAGAGGATGGAGATCACAGGGGACAATGCAGTGTCATGCAAGAAGTTCCAGCTCTGGAGCCACTTAGAATTTATTTATCTATTTAGTTAGTTAGTTTTATTTTTTTTAACTGACAGATAACAATTGTATATATTCATGGGGTATAAAGTCATATTTCAATACATGTATACAGTGTACACTGATCAAATAAGAGTAATTAGCATATTTATCACCTCATTTCTTTTGTGGTGAGAACATTTAAAATCCTTTCTTTTTGCTATTTTGAAATATACAGTACATTGCTATTAAGTATAGTCATCTGGCTGTGCAATAAAACACCAGAACTTACCCCTCCTGTCTGTGACTTTGTACCCTGTTCACCACCCCTCCAATCCTCTAGTAACTACCATTCTACTCTCTACTTCTATGAGCCTGACTTTTTAAAATTCCACATGTAAGTGAGATTACATGGTATTATTCTCTCTGTGCCTGACTTATTTCACTTAACACAATGTCCTCTAAATTTATCCATGATATTGCAAATGACAGAATTTCTTTTTTTTGTTATGCTGCATAGTGTTCTATTGTGTATATATAGCACAATTTTAAATCAATTTATCTGTTGATAGACAATTAGATTGTTTTTAACATCTTTGCTCTCATAAATAATGCTGCCAAGATCATGGGAATACACATGTACATACAGCATACTGATTTCACTTCCTTTGGGCATATACCCATTGGTGGGATTGCTGAATCATATGGTCATACTAGTTTTAGATTTTTGAAAAATTTCCATACTGTTTTCCAAACTGACAGTAATTATTCACGTTATCACCACCATATACAAGAGTTCTCCTTTCTCCACATCCTTACCAATATTTGTTACCTTTCACATTTTTGATAGTAGCCATTATAACATGGTGAGGGCCTATCTCATTAGTTTTAATATAAATTTCCCTGATGACTAGAGATAGTAAGCATTTTTTCATATATTTGTTGGCCATTGATATATCTTCTTTTCAGAAATTTTTATTCAAGTCCTTTGCCCATTTTCAATAGGGCTATTGGTTTTCTTGTTATAGAGTAGTTTGAGTTCTTTGCATATTTTGGACATAGTCCCTTATCCAATGTATGACTTGCAAATATTTGGTCCCAATTCATGGGTTTTCTCTTCATCCTATTTTTTTTGTGGTGTAAATGTTTTTTCATTTGATGTAATCCCATTTGTCTGTTTTAGCTTTCAATGTATGTTCTTTCTGAGTCATTTCTAAGAAATCTCTACCCAAACCAATGTCACAGAGCTTTTTCCTTATCTCTTCTTCTAGTAGTTTTATAGTTTGAGGTTTTACATTCAAGTCTTTAATTCATTTTGAATTGATTCCTATACAAGGGTTGGGATAAGCGTTCATTTTCATTCTTCTGTATGTGAATATCTAGTTTTGCCAGCTCCATTCATTGAAAAGGATGTCCTTTACCCAATGTGTGTTCTTGTCACCTTTGTCAAAAATTAATGAACTGTAACTGTGTAGGTTGATTTCTGGACTTCATATTCTTTTCGATTCGATTGGTCAATGTGGCTGTTTTTAATGCCAGTATCATACTGTTTTGTTTGTCATAGCTTTGTAATATATTTTGAAATCTGGTAGTGTGATGGCCCCAGCTTTGTTCTTTTTGGTCAAATTGTTTTGGCTATTCAGGGTCTTTTATGGTTCCTTACAAATTTTAGGATTTTGTATTACATTTCTTTAAAGAAGGACATTGGAATTTTGATAGGAATTGCTTTAAATTTTTATATAGCTTTGGATAATATTGACATTTTTGCAATATTAATTCTTCAGTCCATAAACACTGAATATTTCTCCATTTATTTGTGTAATTTCTTCTCTCATCAATGTTCTATCAGTTTCAGTATAGACATCTATCAATTCCTTGTTCAAATTTACTCTTAAGTATTTTATATTTTATATGCTATTGCAATGGAATTGTTTTGTTAGTTTCACTTAGTTAATTTTTAGTGTACAGAATTGCTAGTAATTCTGTGAGCTGATTTTGTACTCTATAACTTTAACAAATTCTTTAATTAGTTCAAATTTTACTGGTGAAGCCTTCAGGGTTTATATCGTATCATCAACAAACAGATAACTTCACCTCATTTTTTCCTATTTGAGTGCCTTTTATTTTTTCCTCGTGCTTAATTGCTCTAGTTAGAACTTCCAGTACTATGTTTAACAGAAGTGTTAAAAGTGGGCATCCTTGACTTGTTTATGATCTTGAGAAATAGTTTTCAAATTTAAATACTGAGTATGATGTTAGCTGTGGATTTTTCACATATGGCCTCTATTGTGCTGAGGAACATACCTTCTATATCTAAGTTTTGAGAGTTTTATTTTTGAAAGGATGTTACATTTTTTCAAATACTTTTTCTGAATCAATTGAAATTATCATGTGGTTTTTATTCTTCTTTCTGTTAATATGGTGAACCATGCTTATTGATTTACATATTTTAAACCATCCTTACATCCCAGGAATAAATCTTACTTGATCATTTATTGCTATAAATATTTCTCTTGGAATTGCTTTTGCTACATCCTGTAAGTTTTAGTATGTTGGGTTTCCATTTTCATTTGTCTGAAAAGGGTTTTTTAAATTTATATTTTAATTTCTTCTTTGACTCAGTCATTTAGGAGCATCTTGTTGAATTTACACATATTTGTTACTTTTTCATGATTCATGATGTTGATTTTTTATGATTCTTTCTGTTATTGATTTCTAGTTTCTAGCATTGTGGTTGGAAAGATATTTGATGTGATTTTGATCTTAAATTTTTAAGACTTGTTTTATGGGCTAACATATGATCTATCCTGGAAAATATTCCATGTTTACTTGAGAAGAATGTGTATTCTGTTGCCGTTGGGTGGTATGTTCTATATATATATGTAACATTGGTTTTATATATATATATGTTTTACATATATAACATAGGTTTATATATATATGTTTTATATATATAACAGGTTTATATATATATATATATAGATATAGATAACATACCATCCAATGACAACAGAATACATGTATATACACAGATACCATATATACACACACATATATATACACACACCATATATATGTATACACACACACATATATATATACACACACACACACACCATGCATATATATGCCATATATATGGTATACACATAACATATATATATATGCCATATATATGGTATACACATAACATATATATATGCCATATATATATGGTATACACATAACATATATATATGCCATATATATGGTATACACATAACATATATATGCCATATATATGGTATACACATAACATATATATATGCCATATATATATGGTATACACAAAACATATATATATGCCATATATATATGGTATACACATAACATATATATACACACACGTATACGGTATATATACCATAAAATACATACCACCCAATGGCAACAGAATGCACATTGTATAATTTTCCCACTTAGTATCAAAGTAAAGCTATGTTTCCCAGTTTTTTGTTCGATCTACCTGGACCAGGTTGACTTGTTTGAACCTGATGATGCTGTCAAACTCAAATGTTCATTGATGCTATACGTGCCCTGAACTTTTTCATCGGCCACCCAGCTTTTAGAGGGCGAGACTTATCTTAGTAAAATAAAAATCTATCATGTCACTCTCATTTACAAGATATTCCATTAGCTGAAATTTAAAGAGCTGACTACATAATGTGATATGAAATCTCATTTCCTGCCATACCCTCAATTTATGTTTTTTCATTCATATTAAACTGTTTTTCTCTACTTGTAGTGGCCAACACCTCTAGTCTCCTAATAAACAGCTTATCTTTCAGAATCAACTTCAGCTCTATTTCTTCTATCTGATCCTATCCCTGCCAGATATCAGGTGCTCATTTAATAATTTGAGTGCATCCCTTGTACTCAACTGATGAGTTATTACACACAAATGCTTTCTATTATTTTTATTTCGTTTCTCCTCTGTAATTTACAAGCTTCAAATCTTCATTTCTTGTGTATCCCCTGGTATATAGTAGGTATTACATAAACCTTTGCTGCCTCTAACATAAAATATTTCCAAAAAATAGATGTTGTATGCATATCCGTTAGCTTAATAACTAGAAGCAGAAGTTCTTAGAGAGAAAACATCATATTATGAAAAGACAGATTATAAAATAACTGAAACAGAAGAAGGAATTCTTGAAGGATGTGATAATCAGTTATTTCTAATCATTTTAGAAACAAACACAAATCCTCTAGAGGGTCTAAAGGAGAATATGCTAAAAGCGTAGGAGAATATATCAAAAACCTAGGTAGAAGTGGACACATAACACAGGGACATATTTATAAGCCTCTCTATTTCTATTCCATTGAACCTGCTTGGAGCTGGCCCAGTTGTTAGGCTACACCTATAGAAAACTAATTCTTCTTTATGCCCACGTGATTCACTTTCCATCTTTGCTGCGCACATACATGTGGGGATGGGGTATGTGTTTAAGTGTGTTGGGGGTGGATTGCCTATTAGTTTGCTTTTAATGATTAGATAGAGGAAACATGTTTATAATACAACCTCCAAGCTGCCTCTGAAAGTCCTGGGGAGAAGCACTAATTGAAAATTACAATCTTTATGTAGAAAATGCTTTCCTTCTCAGCAGAGATGTATTCTTTACAAGGAATAGTTGGAGATCAGTGCTGCTAAATAGCTTTGTTCATTTAACACCAGATTATACACTTCATCTGTAATTTCTTAGGTAATTTTGGTACATTTCTATTCTCTTCAATTAGTCAAAAAATTACAAAAAACAGGGTTTATTTATCTTATCTTTCCCTGTAGGACTTAGATCATTCATAGTTATTTAATTAAATTCATCTAACATGACTCAGTTTATTTAGATGTGAAGTCAGGTTTAATTCTATGGTTTTACTTTAATAGTGCTTCCAAAACTCGGTAAAAAATAACTAATGATATATTTGAAATAGAAGAAACACTATGTTAATTGATTAATTACCTAAAATGCAATATGGGGTAACAAGAAGTATAAATAAGGAGCTTATAATTTAATTAGAAGTAAGCTACTCTGTTGGATGAAACTTCAGAGTACGTCATACCGATTTGTAACGCTGCTCATATTCACAAAGTGAATCCACAAGATTGCTGCATATAGTTATGGGAAGCATGCAGCTAAAATGACTTATATTCATATTTTAAATAGCAAGTAATTAATATAATTTTGTTGCTAAAATAAACTATATATATTTTTCTTTTCAGCTTCTAACATTGGCATAAACATGAAAACTAAGATGAGTAAAATGCATTACTGACATAATACTTTAATTCCTGCCCAGAATCTTTAATATTCTAAAGCCTGTATAACTCTGTACTGACATGGAATTAAGGCTTATTTTTGTAGCCAATACATGACAGCAAAAAAAAAAAAGAAAGCTTGTAATTGATAACATATTAGGTTTTGTTTTATGGTAGTCCTGGAGAAGACAATTTTCTGTGAGGTAAAGACAAGGAAGAGGTTTCACTATAAGAGAAGAATAATCTAATTTTAAAAGCTAAGCAGGCTGGGCGTGGTGGCTCACGCCTGTAATCCCAGCACTTTGGGAGGCCGAGGCAGGCAGATCACCTGAGGTCAGGAGATCGAGACCAGCCTAAAGAATATGATGAAACCCCCATCTCTACTAAAAATACAAAAATTAGCCACGCATAGTAGCTCGTGCCTGTAATCCCAGATACTTAGGAGGCTGAGGCAGGAGAATCCCTTAAACCTGGGAGGCGGAGACTGCAGTGAGCCGAGACTGCGCCATTGCACTCCAGCCTGGGCAACAAGAGTGAAACTATCTCAAAAGAAAAAAACAAAAACAAGAACAACAACAAAAAAGCAAACAAACAGCTTCTTCATTCTTCACTCACTTTTCATTTGATTGTTATTATCCTGACAATTAGCTCAATACATCAGCCTCTATTTGGCAAAGATATATTTTAGGTAGTAAATGAACTGTGCTTGAGCTTCATGATTGGGCATGAATCATTGCCTTTGCAATAGCCAAATCTGTGAAGACAGCTGTTGAGACAGTTTCAACTAATGATAATTAAAAAATCATAAACAGCAACTTACAATGTGTCTCAAAGAGACAATTGAACTACTTATTATTTTCAGTAACTTTCCCTTTAGGAGAGGAAGAAACAATTCTTTCTAGTGAAAGTTATGGTGAATACTTTCTTTTATAAAACATTAAAAAAATCATGTGCTGTTCTTCTCTTTATTCCCTTAAATATTGTGTATAAAGCTCATTAGGGTCACTCTTCCTGGAGATTATCATCAATGGTACACAAGATTTGACAAATAACTACCATTTAATATTATTTTTCGGCCGGGCGCAGTGGCTCACGCCTGTAATCCCAGCACTTTGGGAGGCCGAGGCGGGCGGATCACGAGGTCAGGAGATAGAGACCATCCTGGCTAACAAGGTGAAACCCCGTCTCCACTAAAAATACAAAAAATTAGCAGGGCTTGGCGGCAGGCACCTGTAGTCCCAGCTACTTGGGAGGCTGAGGCAGGAGAATGGAATGAACCTGGGAGGCGAAGCTTGCAGTGAGCCGAGATCGCGCCACTGCACTCCAGCCTGGGAGACAGCAAGACTCCGTCTCAAAAAAAAAAAAATTATATATATATATATATATATATATATCATTCATATTTTATTAGAAAGCAAAACAGTTAAAATATAAACTTTTTCGTTTATATTTTATCCTATCACCATTCACCATTATGCCAGCACTTCTCTTTATATAAATTACTCAATACATTTTATATTACTTTTGAATCAAGCAAATTTTAAATTGTATATACTCAATGTTTGCTTAAGAAATCAAGAAAATCACACAGGCACTTTAAATAATGGTTATATTTAATATAAACATTATATAGAGCTAAATAAATTTTAGTATTTCTTAACACGTATATGTAAAAATTTAAGTATCACCAAAATATTTCTAAAATATTTTATGAATGTCTTGTGAAATATTAAATTGTGTATATATATTTGTGCCATCTATATAGGATCATTATGGTTCAAAATAAGTGCTTTAATATAGGAATTTTAACTACCTCTGTTAAGGTGGCCATTTGAAAATATACACACAGGCATAGTAGAGATACACACATATAGACACATAATAGATAATCCATATTGGTAGCTTATCCCAAAAAATAAACAAAATTAAAATTTTGGACAGAACAATCTGAAACATCCAAATATGTATAACTGAAAAAAAAGTATGGAACACAGCGAGAAGTTAGAGAAGGCTGTCATACATATTGCATGGAAAGGGCACAGTTGGGAGTAAAGGGACAACCATAACAAACACCAACTATAGCTAACTAAATGAAAAAGATAGTTGGTTAGTTGGCATAGGATGTTAGAAATGATTTTACTGGTGGAAATTAAAAATGTTTAAATATGACGATTTTCTAGAAATACAGAGGCACAAAAAAGCAAATATCTCAATTCCAACAGGCTGACACACTTCAAAGTAGAGCTGGAAATTTAGCAAATGTATAAGAAATCATTTAATGCCTTTTCACTAGTAAATGATTATGAGTGGTAGAATTCAGCCTAAGACATAATTTCATTGTTGCATACTGCTACATTGTGGACAAGGGGTTCTATCTCGAATATGTTCACTGGGCTAACAACAAATACAAAGATAGATGAAATTTCAAGTATGCAAAACATGAGTTCGTTTTCTAGGCTAGGGTTTGGCAAACATTTTTCATGAAGGAGCAGGGATAAGGTTTGGCTCTGTGTCCCCACCCAAATCTCACCTTAAATTGTAATAATACTCACATGTCAAGGGTGGGACTGCGTGCAGATAATTAAATCATGGGGGCAGTCACCCTCATGCTGTTCTCATGATAGTGAGTGAATTCTCATGAGATGCGATGATTTTATAAGGGGCTTTTCCCCTTTTAGCTCAGCACCTCTCTCTCCTGCTGCCCTGTGGAAAGGTTTCTTCTGCCATGATTGTAAGTTTCCTGAGGCCTCCCTAGCAATGCAGAACCATGAGTCAATTAAACTTTTTTCCTTTATAAATTAGCAGTGTGAGAACTGGCTAATATAACCAGAGAGTAAATATTTTAGGTATTAGGAGCCATATAGTCTCTGTTGCAACTATACATGGCTGTAAATATAATCAGCCATAGATAAGAAGTATCTATGAGTATGGCTTATGTTTCAGTGAAGATGTATACCAAATTAGATGATTGCCCCAACTTGACCTTGCAGCAGTACTTTGTCAAGCCCTGATTTCACTATGCAGCTGAAGAAAATACATTATCTAAGGAGAGATTACTAATTATCCAGAGCTACCCAAGGCAAACCACTGAAAGACATTGAAAAGGAGTTCTGTGATTAACTAGACAATGTAGACAGTAGATACCAAAGGTAATAAATTCTCTATAAGATTTGACTGAATTGAACACTTCAGAAACACTCTCATAGAACACAGAAATTGAATTTAGTTCTGTGAAAAAAATCTCTTCAATAACTATCCGCAATTGATTTTCCATTTTTCTCCCACAAAGATAATCACTAATACATCACTTGGTGGAGGTGTGGCCTAGATAGCCAACTATAAGCAGCTAGTGCATGCTGCTGTCATGGAGAGGATCAGAAGGCGTGAGTAAATACACACCTTCAACTGAAACATCCAGATACATGCACTGGGAACAATCGAGGAAAAAACGTGACCCATAAAGAATGGAGAAATGCAAGATTGCATGACAGCCCGCCTGGATAGAAACACAGAGCCAGGGCAACCTCCCCCACCCAGGGAAATGGTGAGTGAATGTGCAGCCCTGGGAACCCATGCTTCTCCCATAGATCTTTGCAAACCTCAGATCAGAAGATCCCCTCATGATCCCACTCCACTGGGGCCTAACACAGTCTAACACAAAGAGCAACACAGTCTAACACAAAGAGCAACACAGTCTAACACAGAGAGCAAGATGGAGTGTTGGCAGAGCAGTCATTCAGGCAGACATGAGACCCAGGAGCCTTAGATACCCAGGCTTCTTGGTCTTTCTTAGAAAAGCAGCTGCAACTCTAGCAAAGTGGAAGGTTAGATCCCCATATATACCCCTATGAAAGGGGCTGAATCCAGGGGGTTGAGCAGCCACTGTCTGCAGGCCCTGCTTCCATGGTGCCTTGCAGGATAAGACCCATTGGCTTTGCACTCCAGCCAGCCACTGATAGCAGCATTGCACCACCCTAAGATGGAACTCCCAGGGAGAGAGGTGGGCCGCCATGTTTGCTGTTTGGCTGACTTAGCTGTTTGATATGGTTTGGCTGTGTCCCAACCCAAATCTCACCTTGAATTGTAGTTCCCATAATTCCCACATGTCATGGAAGAGACCTGGTGAGAGGTAATTGAATCATGGGGGTGGATTCCCCCATGCTATTCTTGTAATAGTAAGTTCTCATGAGATCTGATGGTTTTATAAGGGACTTTCCCCTTCATGCTGTTCCCATTCTTCTCCTTCTTGCCACCCTGTGAAGAAGAACATGTTTGCTTTTCCTTCTGCCATGATTGTAAGTTTCCTGAGGCCTCCCCAGCCATGCTAAACTGTGAGAATGGATTAATACAGCTAATTGGTACTGCAGAGAGTGGGGTGCTGCTATAAAGATACACAGAAATGTGGAAGCAACTTTGGAACTGTGTAAGAGGCAGAGGTTGGAAGAGATTGGAGGTCTCAGAAGAAGACAGAAAAATGTGGGAAAGTTTTGAACTTACTAGAGATTTGTTTAATGGTTTTGACCAAAATGCTGATAGTGATATGGGCAATGAAGTTCAGGCTGAGGTGGTGTCAGATGGCAATGAGGAACTTCTTGAAAACTGGAGCAAAGGTGACTCTTGCTATGCTTTAGCAAAGAGACTGGTGACATTTTGCCCCTGTCCTAGAGATCTGTGGAACTTTGAACTTAAGAGAGCTAATTTAGGATATCTACTGGAAGAAATTTCTAAGTCAAAAGCATTCAAGAAGAAGCAGAGCATAAAAGTTTAGAAAATTTGTAGCCTGACATGAGGTGGAAAAGAAAAATCCATTTTCTTTTTCTCTCTATTTTTTTTATTTTTTGAGACAGAGTCTCGCTCTGTCACCCAGGCTGAAGTGCCATGGCATGATCTTGGCTCATTGGAACCTCTGCCTCCTGGGTTAAAGTGATTCTTGTGCCTCAGCCTCCCAAGTGGCTGGGATTGCAGGTATATGCCACCAAACTCAGCTAATTTTTGTATTTTAATAGAGATGGGGTTTCACCATGTTGGCCAGGTTGGCCTCAAACTCCTGACCTCAGGTGATCTGCCCACCTCAGCCTCCCAAAGTGCTGGGATAACAAGCATAAGCTACCATACCCAGCATAAAAACCCATTTTCTGGGGAGAAATTTAATCTGGCTGCAGAAATTTGCATAAGTAATGAGGAGCCGAATGTTACTCACCAAGTCAGTGGGGAAAATGTTTCCAGGTCATGTCAGAGACCTTCACAGTAGCCCCTCCTAACACAGGCCCAGAGGCCTAGGAGGGAAAAATGGTTTCATGGGTCTGGCCTAGTGCCCCCCTGGTCTGTGTAGCCTTGGGACATAGTAACCTGCATCCCAGATGCTTCAGCTCCAGATGTGGGTAAAACAGTTCAACATACAGCTCAGGCTGCTGCTTCAGGGGGTGCAAGCCCAAGCCTTGACAGCTTACACATGGTGTTGGGCCTGCAAGTGGACAGAAGTCAAGAACTGAGGTTTGGGAACCTCTGCCTAGATTTCAGAGAATGTATGGAAATGCCTGGATGTCCAGGTAGAAGCTTGCTGCAGGGGTGAAACCCTCATGGAGAACCTGTGCTAGGGCAGTGCAGAAGAGAAATGTGGGGTTGGAGCCCCCACAGAGAGTCCCCACTAGGGCACTGCCTAGTGGAGCTATGAGAAGGAGGCCACCATCCTCCAGACCCCAGAATGGTAGCTCTACCAACAGCTTGTACCATGCACCTGGAAAAGATGCAGATACTCAATTGTAGGAGCCCATGAAAGCAGCTGAGAGGAGGACTGTACCCTGCAAAGCCACAGAGGTGGAGCTGCCCAAGGCCATGGGAGCCCACCTCTTGCATCAGCATCACTGGGATATGAGACATGGAGTCAAAGGAGATCATTTTGGAACTTTAAGGTTTAATGACCACCCTATTGGATTTCGGATTTGTGTGGAGCCTGGAGCCCCTTTGTTTTGGCCAATTTCTCCCATCTGTAACAGTTGTATTTACCCAATGTCTGTACCCCCATTGTATCAAGGAAGTAACTAACTTGCTTTTGATTTTACAAGCTCATAGGCAAAAGGTACTTGCCTTGTATGAGATGAGATTTTGAATTTAGACTTTTCAGTGAATGCTGGAATGGGTTAAGACTTTGGGGAACTGTTGGAAGAGCATGACTATGTTTTAAAATATGAGGATATGAGATTTGGGAGGGGCCAGGGAAGAAATGATATGCTTTGACTGTGTCCCCACCCAAATCTCATCCTGAATTGTAGTTCCCATAATCCCCATGTGTTTTGGGAGGAACCCAGAGGGAGGTCATTAATCAAGGAGGTGGTTTCCCACATGCTATTCTTGTGATAGTAAGTTCTCACGAGATCTGATGGTTTTATTAGGGGCTTCACCATTCTCTTGGCTCTCATTCTTCTCCTTCCTGCTGCCCTGTGAAAAAGGACTTGTTTGCTTTCCTTTCTGCCATGATTGTTAAGTTTCCTGGGCCCTCACCAACAATGTTGAACTATGAGAATTGACTAATGCACTGTGCCAGCCTTTAGGCTTTGGGGAGCCCAAACCAACTGGGGACTGAAGTGGTTTTCCAGCACAGCACAGATGTCCTATGAAAATGTAACAGGCTGCTTTTTAAAGTGGGTCCCCAATCCCATTCCTCTTCACTGGGTAGAAACTCCCAAGTGGGGTCTCCAGCCACCTCTTACAGGTGTATTCAGGCAGGCAACAGGTCTGTACCACCCTAGGACAAAGCCCCCAAAGCAGGGGCAGGCTGCTGTCTTTCCTGTTTTGCAGCCTTCACTTTTGATACCTTCAGGTACTGGAAAATCCATGGTGAATAAGGACTGAAGTGGACCCCCAGCATATTGTAATAGCCCTGTGAAAAGTGGCCAGACTGTTATGTGGGGGCCTGTTCCCATATCTACTCACTAGGCAGTTCCTCCAGGCCTGGGCCCCCAGTCATTCTCTTGCCAGAGCTATCAAGCCAGTGGCAGCTCTGCAACTCCCTGGACAGAGCCTCTAGGGCCAACTGAAAGCCTCTTTGCCACTACCTCTTCAGTGGAACTGTCCTTTCTAGCCCCAGACTAATGAAGGGTCAGAGACCCTAAGTGTTTATTTACACTTCCAACAACCTGCAGTCAACCCAAGGAGAAAAGGCCAGTCCATCCCCTGTTCCATCCCTGACTTTTGTCAGCAGACAGGAACCCCTAGCTTTGACCCACAGCATAGACCCTCCATCCTGGGTTGATTGCACTGAGCGATTTGACCTGCATCTCTCTGGGGTGGAGCCCCCAGAAGATAAGCAAAAGACCCTTGGCCACAACCACTATGAAGGTCCCTTCCTCTGCTGCCTCCAAGTTGGGTAAGGAACAGTAACCCTGAGATTACACCAGAGTTGCAGTGGGCAGCCAAGGAGTTGAGTATCTGCATCTACTGCCATTGCTCAAGGGGGAAAGGAACTTGCACTTTCAGAACATTGAGAGGGAACACAGCTGCAACTATGAGGTAACATAGGGGAGCCACACAATCAAGCAAGAGTCTACCAACAGACCAATATGCCTAAGTGCCACCTACAGGATCACATTCCCCAGAGTTTTAACACCAAAAATATCTCACTAATATACTCTACTTTGACACAAAAGACAAGAAGTCAACTTCAAATAAAGACCTTGCACAAAGCTTCATCCCTGTGGAAACATCCAGAAAACAAGTCTATTGACTAAACTCAATCTACACTGTAGTTTCAGGAACAACCACACAAAAAGAAGAGAACAAAATGCAAGAACTCTGGTAACTCAAATGGCAAGAGTGTTATAAGCACTCCAAACCACTGCAACAGTTCTTTGACAAGAGTTCTTACCCAGGCTGAGCTGGCTAAAATGACAGAAATAGAATTCAGAATAAGAATAGGAATGAAAATCATTGAGATTCAGGAGAACAGCAAAATCCAATCTAAGGAAACTAAGAATCACAATGAGATAATGCAGGAATTGAAGGGTGAAATAGCTGGTATAAAAAAGAACCTAGCAGGTCTCACAGAGCTGAAAAACACAACAGGAGATTTTCACAATGCAATCACAAGTATTAACAGCAGAATAGACCAAGCGGGGGAAAGACTCTCAGAACTTGAATACTGGATCTCTTAAATAAGCCAGTCACACAAAAATAAAGAATAAAAAGAATAAAAGCCCAAATAAAAACCCAAAACTTCTGAGAAGTAGGGTTTCTGTAAAGAGGGCAAATCTTCAAATCATTGGTATTCCTGAAAAGGAAGGGGAATGTATTGTTAGTCTATTCTCACACTGCTAATAAAGACATACCTGACATTTGATAATTTATAAAGGAAAGAAGTTTAATTCACTACAGTTCCACATGGCTCCAGAAGCCTCACAATCATGCTGGAAGGTGAACGAGGAGCAAACTCATGTCTTACATGGCGTCAGGCAGTAGCTTGTGCCGGAAAACTCTCATTATAAAACCTTCAGATCTCATGAAATTTATTCACTCCCATGAGAACAGTATGGGGGAAACTGCCCTATAATTCATTTATCTTTACCTGACCCTGCCCTTGACACATGGAGATTATTACAGTTCAAGGTGAGATTTGGGTGGGGACACAGCCAAACCATATCGGGGAGAAAGCAAACAACTTGGAAAATATATTTCAGGATATTGCCCATGAAATTTCCCCAACCTTGCTAGAGAGGCCAACAGCCAAATTCAGGAAATACAGAGAACTCCTGCAAGATTCTACAAAAAGAAAAAAAAAAAGATAATCCCCATGACACATAATCACATAATTATCCGATTTTCCAAGGTCAAAATGAAAAAAAGAAAGTTAAAAGCAGCTAGAGAGAAAGGGTAGGTAACCTACAAAGTGAACCCCATCAGGCTAAGAGTGGACCTTTCTGCTGAAACCCTACCAGCCAAAAGAGATTGGGGGCCTATATTCAACATTCTTAAAGAAAAACAAAATCTTCAACCAAGAATTTCATATCCAGCCAAACTAAACTTCCTAAGAAAAGGAAAAAGAAGATTATTTTCAGTTAAGCAAATGTTGCAGGAGTTTGTTACCAACAGACCTGCTTTATAAAAGACCTTGAGAGGAGCACTAAATACAGAAAGGAAAGATCGCTACCAGTTGATACAAAAACAAATACACAGACCAGTGACACTATCAGCCAACCACACAAACAAGCCAGCCTAATAACCAGTTAACAACACAATGACAGAATCAACTCTACACATATCAATACTAACCTTGAATGTAAAATTTACATTCAATTTAAATGGGACTAAATGCCCCACTTAAAAGGCACAGAATGTTAAGTTGGATAAAAAAGCAAGACCCAATGGTATGCTGTCTTCTAGAGACCCATTTCATACATAATGACACCCATAGGCTCAAAATAGAGATGGAGTAAAATCTACCAAGCAAATAGAAAACAGAAAAAAGTAGGGGTTGTAATCTTAATTTCAGACAAAACTGACTTTAAACCAACAAAGATTTAAAAAGACAAATAAGGGCATTACATATTGGTAAAGGATTTAATTCAACAAGAAGACCTAACTATCTTAAATATATATATACCCAATGCGGGAGCACCCAGACTCATAAAGCAAGTTCTTAGAGAACTATGTCTACAAAGAGACATAGATTCCCATATAGTAATAGAGACTTCAACACTCCTCTATACAGTATTAGACAGATCATCAAGGTAGAAAATTGACAAAGATATTCAGGACCTGAAGTTGACATTGGACCAAATGGATGTAATAGACCTCTACAGAACTCTCCACTCAAAAACAACAGAATGTACATTCTCATCACCACATGAAACATACTCTAAAACTGACCACATAATTGAACATAAAACCATCCTCAGCAAATGCACAAGAACCAGAATCATACTAAGCACATTCTCAGTCCACAGCACAATAAAAATAGAAGTCAAGACTAAGAAAATAGCTCAAAACCATCAATTACATGAAAATTACACAACATGTTCCTAAATAAGTTAAGGGTAAATAATGAAATTGTGGCAGAAATCAAGAAGTTCTTTGAAACTAATGAGAACAAAGATACAACATACCAGAATCTCTTGTCCCCCATGACATGAGTTTACCAATATAACAAACCTTCACATGTACCACTGATCTAAAATAAAAGTTATAAAACTAAATATTTGTTGGTGAATATGTTATTTATATATAATAAATATTCATTTTATTCATATATATTTATAAGATATATTTATATATACCTTTTATGTCCATGAAAGTTTGGTTCATGCTTTATAGGAACTAATTTTGATGACACACATCAAGGACCCACTGTGTATTAGAACCCACACTTAGATCCATTTCTCAAAGCTTATTCTCCTTGCCTCATAAAGCAAAATCTGACAGAAGTGTAAGGAGAAATAGAAGAATTGAAAATAACACAGACTTTAATATCCTACTTTAAATAATTGAATAACTGGAAACAAAATAAACAAAAAAATAAAAGACTGCAATAACACTGGGAACCAAAGAAATCTAACAGAGATATATGAAATACTCCACCTAACAACAATATAACATACATTATTCTCAAATGCACATGGAACATACTCCAGGATGTACAACATGCTAGGCCATAAAGCAAACATAAATAATTTAAAAGGAATGAGATAGTACATATATTCTATGAATACAATGGGATACAATTGTGAATCAATAACTAGGAAATATTAAGGTAACTCACAAATACGTGGAAATTAAACAACACATTATAAAGCAACTAAGAGATCAATGAAGAAATCAAAAGATACATCAGAAAATACTTAGAAATGAATGAAAATTAAGACATAATGTAACAAAACTTCTAAGATGAAGCTAAACAGTGCTTAGGGAAAAATGTATTGCTGTATGTCTATATTAGAAAAGAAGAAAGATATAAAATCAATAGTCAAACTTATACCTTCATATACTAGAAAAGCCTAAAACAATTAAAATGAAGGAAATGATACAAGTTAGAGTTAAATTAATGAAACTGAAAATAGGTAACAATAGAGAAAACAATGAACACACATCTTTATTCTTTGAAAAGATCAACAAAATGTGCAAACCTTCAGCTAGATTGATAAGGAAAAGACTCAAATAACATTAGAAATCAAAGAGGAGGCATTGTTATTTCATTTATGGAAATAAAAAGGATTATAATGAAATATTGTGAAAAATTGCCAACAAACAAATTAGATAACTTACATGAAATGAACATCTCTTAGACTTACACGCTCTATTGAAGTTGACTCAAGAAGAAATAGGTAATTGGAATAGACCTGTAGCAAGTGAAGAAGTTCCATCAGTCTTTAATAAATTAGCCACAGAGAAAAAACACTTAAGAAAGTCCAGGCCAGGAGCGGTGGCTCACGCCTGTAATCCCAGCACTTTGGGAGGCCGAGGTGGGCGGATCACGAGGTCAGGAGATCGAGACCATCCCGGCTAAAACGGTGAAACCCTGTCTCTACTAAAAATACAAAAAATTAGCCGGGCGTAGTGGTGGGCGCCTGTAGTCCCAGCTACTTGGGAGGCTGAGGCAGGAGAATGGCATGAACCCGGGAGGCAGAGCTTGCAGTGAGCCGAGATCCCGCCACTGCACTCCAGCCTGGGCGACAGAGCGAGACTCCGTCTCAAAAAAAAAAAAAAAAAAAAAAAAAAAGAAAGTCCAGAATAAGGAAATCCATAAAGACAGAAAGTATTTGCTTAGGCTGAGGTGATGATGATGATGTGGGGAATAGGAGGTTAATAGCTAAAGTGTGCAGAGGTTTTTTTTGAGGTGATAAAAATTTCTCCAATATTGACTGGGATGATTGTTGCACATATCTGAATGTATCAAAAATGATTAGCTTCAACTAAATGGGTTAATTATATACTATGTAAATTATATATAAATAAATTTGTATAAAAATATAAATGAAACTATTGCCTGCAAGTAGTTCCAGAAAGAAGTTGACACATTTCAAGAATAACAAATGTTATTAAACATGTGAAATTGATGAATGAGAAAATATACTATTTCCATACTCTTCCTTAAAGATGTATCAGTCCCTAATGTATATTCCTATTATGGTGATATTATTTATGCTCAGTCAATCATTAACATACGCTTATGAAAATCTTATTTTACTTAAAGAGGAATACTTTAAATAAATTTTATTCAATTGCCTTAGAATTTAGGCCTACTCCTAGACAGGAAGAAAGATTTCCAAGAATTCACAATCTTCTAAAACCATTACCTATATTTATTATTTATGCTCTTACATAACCCTCAGTAGCACATTATTTTTCTTGTACAATTGATCAGATATTATTTGAAATTAAAGTGTCTGTCCCTTTCAGTCAGCGTGTTTCTAAAATATGACAACTAATGAAATCGCATAGTAAATGCTACAAACTGAAGGCTATAATAAGTTGTAACACTTTTTCAGAATCACAATAAAATTTTTCTGGATATGCTGTTGTGTAAGGAATTCCTCAGTGATATGTGCATTTGAACTTCAGCTAATATTTCTATTCTCTCTGAGTTTGGGAAGTTATTTGAATTCCCCTACTCCTAGGTTTTTTATTTATACACTTAATATTCATTGTTTTTGCCCTTCCTATGTTATATTTTAACGATTTATTCACTCATTGTTGTGTTTCTATTCCAAACGTTTCCTAGGTTGGTGAAAGAGTTGATAACTGTCAAAAAAATAAGCCTGCAATTGGAATATGGAAAGAGCAACGGTCAAGTAAGACAACATTTTGGCAAGTGCACATAGAACTAATGAGTAACTGTTCCTGGGGCTCTAGGACTATTAGCGCAGATTCTAGACTGAGATGGGATCTGTGTGAAGAGTTAACATTTCTAGTAGGCAATGAATCCCAGCAAGGTCATTAAAGGACCTTGTCTGTTTCTTTGTTTTTATTTAATAAAAATGTTCTTCTTTGGATACTTCCTGCCCATTAATGAAGCAATAAGGTGGGCTTGTGAACATATGTGTCTTGTATGCACGCTCAGCAATGTGCCTTCATTATCTAAAAAGGACCAAAATCTATTAACTTATACTATTATTCAGCATATGGTTTTATAAGAGACAGGAGAGACTACCATCAGCATTTCCCTGTTTGAACATAAAATATTAATTCAGTTTTCTTTACAGAAAATTTAAGAGTCAGTTTCAAACATAAATTTATTGAAAGGGTTAATCTTCTTTGTGAAATATAATCTGTGTTGCCAAAAGGAAAATTCAGACATTACATCCAAAATGTATAGTTCTCAGTTCTGGCTGTCTCTAATATATATACATTTATCAAAATCAGTGATAATCAGTCTGCTTTAAAGGGTATTTTTTGAAATTTCTGATATATCATGAAGACAAATATGATGGTTATCACAACTTAAAACTAAAACCTGTCTATCTCAGGAGAAGATAAAAAATGTATGCAAAATGTAAAAAGACTGGCACTCCTGGATGAATTATATTATTGTACCTTAGAGAAATTGTGATACTGATGTGGTTATGCATTTCAGTAAGAGAAAATGGCAAATTGAAATTACCAAATATTCAAGACAGTTCTCGGAAATCTAAATTATATTATAGAATATTAATGTCACACAGAGCACTATTTCTAGAATTAGTCTGTGAAAATGTCTTCATTTAAATTCTTAAAGCCAGATATAAATATTTCAAAGTAAGGTTAAAATTCAGTTGAAGAGTACTAGTATGATCCCAAAATAAAAAACGGTAAACTGACCAGATCTAATTTAGAAGGAGGCAGAGCTAGCTGGGCATGGTGGCTCACGCCTGTAATCCCAGCACTTTGGGAGGCCAAGGCAGGTGGATCACCTGAGGTCAGGAGTTCGAGACCAGCCTGGCCAACATAGTGAAACCCCATCTCTACTAAAAATAAAAAAACTTAGCCAGGCATGGTGGTGCATGCCTGTAGTCCCAGCTATTCAGGAGGCTGAGGCAGGAGAATCGCTGGAACCTGGGAGGTGGAAGGTTGCAGTTAGCCGAGATTGTGCCACTGCACTCCAGCCTGGGTGACAGAGTAAGACTCTGTCTCAAAAAAAAAAAAAGAAAAAGAAAAAAAAAAAGGAGGCAGAGCTGACTCAGTAGCAGAGGAGACTTTACAAGCTACATAATGGAATATTTGGAATAAATTACTTAAACATTCAAATAAAGAGACATAATTAGAACTATTGAGTTGCCCCTGTAAAAGAAATCTGGAATAATTTTACTTTTATTGATGTATTTTATTATGTCAATATTTAGTTATCATCTGAAAAAGAGATCTGCATCCCTATTCTAAAGGGAATCTTTGTTTCAATTCTGCTCTAATTTTTAGATTATAATTTTTTTTCTCTGATACACATCTGTGTTTTTTCTCCTCCACAATATAAAATGAAAAAAATAATTTGTGTGTGAAAAATGTAACATGACAACCAAAACTGACTCAGAAGTCATACAGCAGTGATGGGTGACTACAATAAAATGAATGTACCTGTTATAAGTAATATTTTCTTTCCAAAAGTCTAAGATTGTATAGCTTCTTCACATTACAGTGAGTGTGCTATAATTAGGAAGCTCAAGGAAAATGTAACTTAGTATAGCTATTATGAAAAACAGTACAGAAGTTCCTCACAAACTAAAAATAGAACTACCATATGATCCAGACCATCTCACTGCCCAGTGCCAAAATAAGGAAATCTAGATATTGAAAAGATATCTGCCCTCCATGTTTATTTCAACACCATTCACAGTAATAAAGATGTTAAATCAATCTAGGTGTTCATCAATGGATAAATGATAGAGAAAACGTGGCTTATATACACAATGGAATATTATTCAGTCATAAAAATAAAATCCTGTCATTATCTGGCAACATTAATAGAACTGAAGGACATTATTTTAAATGAAATAAGCCAGCTACAGAAAGAAAAATACTGCATGTTTTCACTCATATGCAGTAGCTACAAAAATGTATTTCTTTCATGGAGCTAGAGAGTAGAATGGTGTTACCAGAAGCTTGGATGGGTAGGGGCCAGGGGGTTTAAAGTGAGGTTGGTTAATGGGCACAAAAATGCAGTCATATAGAAGAAATATGTTGCAGTGTTCCATAGCACAGTAGGGTGACTATAGGTAACAGTAATTTATTGTATATTTCAAAATAACTATTAGAAAAGTTTTAGAATGCATTCAGCACACACAAAAAATGATAAACGTTTGAGGTGATGAATATCCCAGTTACCTTGATTTGATTATTACACATTGTATGCATGTAACAAAATATTCCATGAACTCGATAAATATGTACAAATATTGTACATCAATGAACATAATTTTTTAAAATGACAGTACAGTGGCATTATAAAGGAATGTCTTGAGTTGTGAAAATTTAAATATGGAGCTGTAAAAATCACCTATAGTAAATTCAAATCTAAATAAAATAATAGTGGACTGACCACTGACGTCTAGATTTATAAGTGTTTTACACTTTGCCTCCCAAAAAGGAAATTTTTGAATATGCATTAAAATTTTCTTTCCCAGGCCGGGCGCGGTGGCTCACAGCACTTTGGAAGGTTGAGGCGGGCAAATCACAAGGTCAGGAGTTCAAGACCAGCCTGGCCAATATGGTGAAACCCTATCTCTCCTGCACATTGTGCACATGTACCCTAAAACTTAAAGTATAATAATAATAAAATAAAATAAAAAATACAAAAATTAGCTGGGGGTGGTGGCGGGTGCCTGTAATCCCAGCTACTCAGGAGGCAGAGGCAGGGACATCGCTTGAACCCAGGAGGCGGAGGTTGCAGTGAGGCAAGATCTCACCGTGAGGCAGGGAAATCGCTTGAACCCAGAAGGCGGAGGTTGCAGCGAGCCGAGATCGCGCCACTGCATTCCAGCCTGAGCGACAGAGCGAGACTCCGTCTCAAAAAAAAAAAAAAAACAACAAAAAACTCTTTCCCAGTTAGTTTTTTATTTTATATCATTGAGTATAGGCCACAGAAATTTGATCTTTATGACTTTTTAATTTGGTTTCCAAATTCCTAATGGAGCCTTCATTTGTCATGTGATAAAATATTAGAACTTAGAATTATCTCCATTAATAACACAGAACTTCTAGAATAAGGGCTGAAATAACTTTACTTCAATATAATTTTTGTAGAAACTCATAATTTTTAAATAGTTCAGCTTGTAATCTTTATAAAGCCACTTTCAAAATCATGGACTAAATGTACAATTTTTTAAAAAAGCAAAAAAAGCTGGACTTTGTGGTATTATTTTTTGTCTGAAGACTGAAAGAACTAACTCAACACAGCAAGCACAGAATTTAGTGTTTGCATGAGGATAGACATAGAAAAGGCAAAGGGGCATTTGGTACATATGATTAAACCTATGTGGCAATGTTAGTGATGGGGAATATGGTGGGAAAGGCCAGGGTAGCTCTCTTCCAATTAATGACATAATTTGTGAAGCAGCAGATGACTTTTCCAGTGAACTAATATCACCACTCCAACTAGTCGGTTAAGAAAAATTACAGCTACTTTTTTCACAAATATTTGAAGGGAGAAAAATAGTATGTTTGTATTATTTTCAATAGGTCTCAGAGAGATGAAGAAAAGCTCAGTATGTTCCACCAAAATGTTGAGGAAGTAGAAGACTGCTATGTTTCTTTCTAGGTAGGAAGATGAGGAGGACCACACAAGAAAATCAAAATAGAATACCTCAAAAGAAATAGTTTGCACAGTTGAAGAATTTTAATACTGTTTTACAGTGAATAAATATTAGCAAGCATCTTATATTTATGCTAAAAAAGAGCACAATTCATCCCTTACCAATTTAAAAAAGGGCACAAAGTCTTAAATGATCCATAAAATAAAACAAATACATAAGTTCAACAATAAAAAAAGTAAAACTTGTGAAATTTTCCACGAGTTTCATTGATCTTATCAGTCTTACTCCTTCATACACCTCAAAGTATTCCCTTCTCATTCCTAACCAGGAACCTGGGTCCTGCCTGAGGTTTCCAACAATAGCTTTCCAACAATAGCTAACAGAGGTTTGGAATGAGGCATTTGTATTCTAGAACATGGATGTTTTCTCCATCCCATGGGATTTGTCTTTTCAAGTTTCTTTGTCCTCACAGGCTTTGCTTCCAGGGAGAAATTTCAAGGGTGGAAGACCTTAGCAGAGTCCAGACACCACAAGAGTAGCCATGATGTTTACTCATTGCTCAAGGCCAGCCCTTTCCACAAGAATATACATAAATCACAGAATAGCCCACTGGTAGCCTACCCTCCCATATATCTTATACTGCTTCTTCTAGCTTCATTTTACTGAAATACTTGTGAAGTTATCATATATGCAGAATTAAATATTTCCACATGCTGGAATTTAAATTTCTCAAGTGATTCATGAAATGAGCCAAAATGAATATCTGAGTTATCTTGCTGTAGTAGAATTAGGATTATATTTATGGTCACAAGAGTTAAACACAGCTTAGAATCAAATACTGGTTTGGTTGGTGACAATCCATACAATATTTTACAAGTAACTTGACTCTCTCAATTTCCTCATCTATAAAGTGGGCATAATAACATTACCTACTTCACACAAATATCACAAGGATTTAACTACGTATGTAAAATACTTGGTGCATTTCGAAGCACACATGCCAGTAAATAGTATTATCATTAG
This sequence comes from Homo sapiens, assembly GCF_000001405.40. NCBI lineage: Eukaryota > Metazoa > Chordata > Mammalia > Primates > Hominidae > Homo > Homo sapiens. The sequence continues at coordinate 56,986,862 of NC_000002.12, read as the reverse complement.
GACTATCACCATCATCTTCATCATCATAATCATCACTTCACAGAAAGTGTGGGGATGAAATGAAAAAAATGAATAAAACTCAGTGTCTAGCATACTGAATGTGCCGATAAATGATTTAGTATATTGGGAGGAAAAACCTGTCTGACTGAGTTGGTGAGAGTTGGTTCTATCATTACTCTGTGCAAGTTTGATTCTTGTCTCCAGCACTGGACATATAAAGGCTTAGCATAGTTTAATGTATATATACATGAATCTTGTTATGATATTTAATAATTGCATATGCAATTTCTTAAATAAATGTAAGCACCATATTATACATATCTTTTGTAGTCAGCAGGGAAAGCAAAATAACATTTGTGTTGCCTATGTGCTCAGTCCTGCCCTATGTGATTTACTTATATTAGGCCACCTCAAACCTTTCTTGTGAGGGATATTATCATCTACATTTGACAGAGAAGAATGCTGAAGGTCAATAACACCTTTAAGGCCAAAACTAGAAAGAACTAGGTATATAAATATTCACATTCAGGACAGTGTGACTGCACACCATGCGATACCTACCCTTTTCTATTAAAGTCCTTGATATGAATTAACTAATGAATTAATTTTTATTTGAACTCACTAGACTAAAAATAGCCCCAAAATAAAAAAGACTACTCTTCATCACATATTAGTAATTTATCACATACCTAGTGTTGAGACACAGGAATCTGTTAGTAATTAGATTGTTTGTTGAAGATGTTGAAGAAGTAGAATGGAACTTCAAAATCTGTTTCAGATATTAAGGATGATGACACCACACACATACCAAAAGAGTAGTAAAAGGATTTAATACTCACAAATGAAGTTTTCTGGGGAAAGCAAGGCAAGATCCCCAAGCTGGTCAGCAAATGGCTTCAGAGATCAGGGGAAAAAATTTAAAAAAAAAAAGAAACTGACTTTTTTTTTGGTTTTTGTTCTTTTTTTTTTTTTTTAAAATGATGGAAAGGGAGTGACACCTAGCTGCAGGTTGCTACAAGCTGTTTGAACTTGCTACCAGCACCAAAAGTGAAACCACTCTAGCTTTCATATGTGCTTGCTCAGGTGTGGAGTAGAAGGGGAAGAGAAAGGGATAATGCTGAAAGCTGTCATCAGTAAAAGTAAACAAAAAATGGAGTAATATTTATTATTACTGTTTAATTAAAAATAATATTGTTCCAAATATATTATTATGGGAAGATAAAACAAGAAACAGTTACAATAAATTTAAAATAGATATAAAGAAAAAGTAGTTGATCTTGAACAACTAAGGAGTTAAGAATGCCAACTCCCATGCAGTCAAAAATCTGCTTATAATTTTGACTCCCCAAAACTTAAATATACTAATAGTCTATTGCTGATTGGAGACTTAACAATCATATAAACAGTAGTTTAACACATATTTTGCATGTTATATGCATTATATACTCTATCTTTACAGTGTAGGAAATGAGTCAGGGTGGTGGGAAAAATTATAGGAAAGGTGCAAACCTTCTTGGAAGGCTGGAAGGTTTTGCAAAAGCTTTGGGAAAGGGTTATGGCTGAAGGCAGCCTAATCCTCTTACCTTGAGCTAATAGCAAGGAGCAGATAACAAGGGAATGTAGAAGAGTTTATTTAAATAGCTTGTTTACTCATGTTGTCCTAAAACCAACCTTTTATCATATGTGCACAGGACTGCTCTCTACTTGGGGATTTGGCAATATTTATTACCTACAAATTGTGTTTGCTCTAAGCCTTTGTCATTAAATCTGTACTAAATAAAAGTGAGTGTTGCCTGCTTAGGGGTGCTGCTAACTGTCTTCGGCCCCTAGTGCCGGCAGTCTCCTATACCCCTCTTTCACTGGATATCTGTGTCTGAGAATTTATTTCATTCAACACTAATCCAGAGTCTGCAGGACAGACTTGGCCGGTGGTGCCCCCACATGAGGAATGCTGCAAAGGATCATGACGGAACCCTGGAAAATGAAGGTGAAGGGACTACGCAGTCCGTAAGTCAGTAAGTCATTGGTGCCTGCTTGGGATTTCCAAGTTCAAGGGAATTGTTCAGCCTAGGGTTTCATCATGGGACAACAGTTATCAGCTCAATAGCAACAGTATATAAAAATATTGAAACAGCAGCTTAAAGCTAGTGGAGACTCGGTTTCACAGGCTCAATTAAGGGACTTAATGCAAACTGTTGTTTCCCATAACCCATGGTTCCTGGAAGAAGGTATGCTAGACATAGAGCTCCGGGAACAAGTTGGGAGAAATCTTAAATAACATCATGCACGAGGGCATCTCTAACATTATGGGCTTTAGTTAGGGCTGATTTGGTCCCACTCTACACAGAAGAGCCTAACAAGGGAAGAGAGGAGAAACCGTCACCTACCTTACTGCCTGCTTCTCCCTCAGCCCAGCCATTAATGAGCAAAAATACCAAAGAGAAAACAGAGGTTTTGCCTGAGCCCCTTCCTCCAATAAACTGGAAAAAAGACAAGGGATATGCTACAGTTACAGGACCCTGTTATAGGCAAGCGGCATTAGAATGGGAAGTCTTGGCCTGCCCAGGATGCAAGATCAATGAGGCAATCAGGTACATAAGGAAAAAAGAAAAAGTATTAGAGAAAACAGAGTTGCTGGCCCATTTATGAAAGGGTTAATTGAGGTCACTCTGCAGACCTCTTTCTAATAATGGCCACTGTTATTATCCCTCACTTACCCCTAACGTGGCTCTCTTAAAATCCTCTTTGGGTAGAACAGTAGCCTTTAAAGAGAGAGAAATTACAATGAGCCAATCAATTAGTTGAGGAACAATTAAAAGCCAGCCATATAGAACCATCAAACAGCCCTTGGAATTCGCCCATTTTCATCATTCCCAAAAAGTCTGGCAAATGGAGACTTTTGCATGACTTACAGCTATCAATGCTAATTTGCAACCTGGCCCCTTCAACAGGGCCTCCCTTCCCCAGCAGCGATTCCTCAAGGTTGGCCTATAATCATTATTGACTTAAAAGATTGCTTTTATACTGTTCCCCTTGCAAAACAGCACAGAGAAAAATTTGCGTTTACCATACCAGCCATCAACAGCGAAAGGCCAGGTAGTCAATTTCACTGGAAAGTGCTTCCTCAAGGAATGCTAAACAGTCCTACCATGTGTCACTATCATGTAAATCAGGCTTTGCTCCCCAATAGAAAATAATTTCCTAATTGCAAGATTGTTCATTTTATGAATGATATTTTACTAGCAGCCCCAACGGAGTCAGTACTTTTAAGTTTATATGCCTCTGTGGTAAAGAATACACAGTTAAGAGGTTTAGTCATAGCACCTGAAAAAGTACAATTGTCCTCTCCTTGGAAATATCTTGGATACATATTAACTTCCCAGTCAGTAAGACCTCAAAAGGTTAAATTAAATATTAGCAATTTACACACATTAAATGATTATCAAAAATTACTGGGCGATATTAACTGGCTTCACCCCACCTTGGGCAAAACTACTGATAAATTGCGAAACCTGTTTTCTATCCTAAAGGGCAATACAGCTTTAGACTCTCCCAGGTATTTAACTCCTGCAGGAAAAAGGGAAATTGAAGAAATAGAGTAAGCTATTTCCCAGAGGCAACTAAATTGCATAAACCCAAAATATTCAGTCAGTCCAATTGTTTGTTTTTCCTAATAAACATTCCCCAACAGGATTAATAGGACAGATAGCCCCAGAGCTACACTTCCTAGAATGGGTTTTTTGCTCACATACCAGGACTAAAACTCTATCTCCCTATATCCAGCTAGTTAGTAAAGTCATCTATTCAGGCCATAGATGATGCAATCAGTTTCTAGGTTATGATCCTGATGTCATCGGAATTTCTTGGAGTAAAAAGCAATTTGAAGCAGTATTGCCCCTATCTCTAGACCTTCAGGTAGCACCCTCTGATTATAGAGCATGCCCTTCATATAGAGCATGCCCTTCCTGCTGACAAACTACTTTAGTTCTTATCTCGTACTCCTGTAGTTTTGCCTACAAAAGTAGTTCACTCCCCTATACCTAATGCTTTAACAGTTTTTACTGATGGTTCTGGTAAAAATGGAAAAGTGGCTATTTAGTGGAGACTGCATAATACCCTCACTCATTCTGGATTTACTAGCACTCAGAGAGCTGAGGTTGGACGCTTAATATTGCCCCTGGAAACTTTTTCCACTCAGCCCATCAATATTGTTAGTGACTCTGCTTACTCTGTTTATTTATTACAGAACCTAGAAACAGCCTTCATTTAGTCTCCTCTTAAGCCCACCCTATGTGCACTTTTTCCATGACTTCAGCAACTGCTGGGTCGATGTACACATCCTATTTTTACCACACATATTTGAGCCCGAAGCTCACTACCTGGCCCACTGGCTTATGGCAATAATCACGCAGACCTGCAAGTTATAACGTCACTGCTTTACCAAGCCACCCAATTGCACCAATTTTTTCCACCAAAATTGGAGGAGCTTAACTAAACGATTTCAACTTACCCAAAGACTAGCTAAACAAATTATCCTGCAATGCCCAGATTGCCAGCTCACAGGCACATCCCCTGGCTCTATAGGTATTGACCCTAGAGGACTAGAACCTAATCAGTTATGGTAAAGAGATGTTATGCACATCCCTGAATTTGGAAAACTAAGATATGTACATGTATCCGTTGATACCAATTCTAACCTAATTAGCACACATGCTTTTCCTGGAGAGTCCACCCAATATGTTCTCTTAACTTTTGCGTTTATGGGGCGGGCCACAGGGCATAGTAGAACATCCTCACTCCACCCTTAAAAATATGCTCAGAAAACAATAAAGGGGGAATATGAGTAAGGACCCTGCAACACTACTAGCACAAGTCTTATTTACCCTTAATTTATTAAATTTAAATAAATTTAAATCAGCTATAGAAAGAAAAGCACTTTGCTAAAACCTCTCAAGACATAAAACCTGCAGTTTTGTGGAATGACGTAAATAGTAATGTATGATGTCGTCCAAATGATTTGCTAACATGGGGAAGAGGATATGCTTATGTTCACATTCCCTCAAGTCCTCTTTGGATTCCAGAAGGATGCATCAAACCACATCATGGCATGGCTGGGACCCAACCCGGTACAAGAAATGAAAGAAATGTCCCTGCATGACCCACAGTCCTGGACAATGCAGCTTCCTCAGACAACACAAGCCCCGAACATCACCTGGGGGATGCTGAAAAAGATGACTCAGGAGGCTGAGAAAATCCTGCTCTGGACACAGACACCATTCACTCCAAATAATTTGTTCCTTGGTATGCTCTCTGTTGTACATTGCAACTAGCATAGGATATTGATCCTTTTTATGCTCTCACTTTGCCTGCAACCTGCACCTGCTACTCTCTATTGGGCCCATCTCTTAGATACACCTTTTTTCTGGCCTGTTCCCTGGGCAGACACCCCTTTCCCAGCCTCTAATAATGTAACTACTTGGCTAGGAGGGACTGACTTACCCCCAGTGGGGTCCCTTATTAATGGCACACATTGGACTAAGGTGCCAGGTAACACTACATATCACTCCACTATCCTCCCACCGTGTGTAAGTTATAAAAGTTATAACCCTTACCATGTTCCTGCCCAAACTTAAGTATGGCTACATAATGGCAAAGGTAATGCCTTAACATTCTTGGTTGCAGGTAGCCTCAAACCAGGCAATGCAACCAATGCCACTTCCCCCAACATTCCTTCCTGTGCTAAAGAACATAGTCAGTAAAGTTATTGATTTCACTTGGCTGGGAGGTCTGTCACAGGGGACAAGCCCGTAGCCTCCAGTTAGGCAATTATAACATCTTAGACTGGAGCCCCCACTGCCATTTGCAGAGTGACCATACTGATGTCAACATCCATTGTGGCATCAATCACAGTTTCATAGCCAAGTCTAGTTCCCCTATAATTTGGGCTGATGCAGGGATAGGATATCCCAGACCCCAAGTAGAGTCCATGCCACCCCAAGACACTTTATGGCACCTGGGACATGGGACATATCATAATTCCAGTAACAACTATACTATGACCATCCTTTGCTGGCATTAAATTCACCTTCTCTTTCTTTAAGTTATCATATAATGACTCTGTTGTCCTAAAACCAGCCTTTGATCATTTGTGCGCAGGACTGCTCTCTACTTGGGATGTCAGCAATGTTTATTACCCACAAATTGTCTTTACTCTAAGCCTTTGTCATTAAATCTGTACTAAATAAATGCGAGCATTGCCAGATTAGGGAGTTGCTAACTGTCTTTGGCCCCTAGTGCTAGCATTCCCCTAGCCTGCTCTTTCACTGGGTTTCTGTGTCTGAGAGCTTCTTTCATTCATTGCTTGGCCAGAGTCTGCAGGACAGACTTGGCATTACAGCAAAGTAAGCTAGAAAAAATATTATTAAGAGAATTATAAGGAAGAGAAAATATATTAACAATTCATTAAGTGGAACTGGCTCGTCATAAAGGTCTTCATCCTCATCACCTTCACATTGAGTAGGCTAATTAGGAGGAGAAAGAAAAGGGTTAGTCTTACTGTTTCAGAGTTGGCAGAGGCAGAAGAGGTGAAAGAAGTGTAAGAGAAGGCAGAAGAGATAGGCACACTCAGTGTAACTTTACAGAAAAACATATTAATTTCTTTCTGACTGTTTTACTTTTTCATTTCTCTAAAAATTATTCTATAAGGCTCCAACACCATTTGCTTCCACCATTTGCTTTAGTTTCAGTGTCCATGTCAGAGATGAGTCCATATCATAAAAGAAGCCAAAAGTAGTCTAAATAATCTGAATCCTTCTGTCAATTGTCTAATGTCAACTTGTTTTCTGATGCTGCTTGTTCTATGTTTTATTCCTCATTCTCTTGTACTGGTTCAGAAGCACTCATCTCCATTAAGTCATCTTTTATTAATTCCTCTGGTGTTATGTCTATAAGCTCTTGACTTTCTCCAAGATCCATATCTTGAAACCCTTTATCCCTCACCATTTTTGCCATATCTACAATCTCTTTCATTATTTCCTTGATTAACTGTCATAAAACTTATGAAGTCACGCACAACATCTGTATATAGTTTTCTCCAGCAAGAATTTATTGTTTCAGGCTCAGTGGCTTTCATGGCTTTTTGTATAATAATGATGCCATCTTCAAAGGGGCAATCCTTCCAGACTTTCATGATGTTTTCTCTGTTAGGGTTCTCTTCCATAGCGTTGTCAGTCTTCCGCAGAGTACCTTCTGTAATGAGCCTTAAGGTTTTTATAACTCCTTGATCCGTAGGCTAAATTAGAGACATTGATCTTGGGAGCTAATGGGCCTCCTTGACATCTTCAGCATGGAGCACATGAGGTTCTCCGTGACCATGGGAGTTGTCCAATATCAAAAGGATGTTAAAAGGTAGCCCTTTACTGGCAAGGTACTTCCTGACTTCAGTGACAAGGAAGCAATGAAACCAATGCAGAAAAAGCGTTCTCATTGTCTAGGTTTTAATGTACAACCAAAAGACTGGCAGCTGGTATTTATCTTTTTCCTTCATGGCTCAGGGGTTAGAAGCTTTATAGATAGGGCCAGTCTTGATAATGAACCTGATGCATTTGCACAAAACAGTAGAGTTAGCCTATCCTTTTCTGCCTTAAATCTTAGTGCCCACTCCTCTTTCTAACTAATAAATGTCTTTTGTGGCTTCTGTCCCCTTTTATCTGCATTAAAAACTTGTTCAAGCAGATATATTTTTTTCTCAATGATTTTCTTAATGTTGTCTGGGAACTTTGCTGCCTCTTGGTTGGCAGAAGCTGCTTCTATGGTGTTGACATTTTTTTTTTAAGCCAAACCTCTTTCTAAAATTATCAAACCATCCTTTGCTGGCATTAAATTCACCTTCTCTTTCTTTAAGTTATCATATAATGACTTCACTTTTCCTTGAATCATATTAGAGTCTATATGTATGTCTTTCTTATAGCAATCATGCACCCACATATCAAAAAGCTGCATTTTTGATATGAAATAAAAAGGTATTTTGCAAAAAGTGCAGTGTTTTGTTGCCTGCTGGTATAGCTACATCAACAGCTCCGTTAATTTCCTAACTTTTTTTTTCTGCTATAGCCCTTACATTAGATTTGCTTATCAAAAAATAGCAACTACAGCTATGGACCTCAATCTATGGTACATATCAAGCAATTCAATTTTTACTTCTAATGTCATGACTTTGCCTGTTAGAAGCAATTCCAGAATCACTAGTGGCACTTCATGTGGGTCCCCATGTTGCTCTTCAAGGTTTATGGCATTGCACTAAACATGATTTAAAAAATCCATGAGTATTACAAGAGATACCTTCTTACTGTGATACACAATTTACTGTAGAGATGAACTCTTCATGCAGAGATTATTAGTATCATGCAGCATTTTAAGTGGCTACTCAACAGATACATCCAGCCTTCCCGTTGGCTTGATAGGGCCCTCTCTTCCATTAGAATGCTGCCCTGACTGCAGGGTTTCTAGAAGAGAATGACATTGAAGTGACGCCACAGTAGGGGCACAGTGCCCATCACCATGCCAAACTCCTGTGACTAAGCCAGATTATCACATTCAGCTTTCAAAAGTAGCAACAGTAGGTAGCTATAAAATTATTAGTAATACAGTATTACTACAGTTAATTTTATGCAGTTATGATTTAATACTGCACCTTTATGTTTGTTAATATTTCTTTCCACTGTGAATAGCACCAGGTATGATCTTGAAGTGTGTGTATAAATTTTTTATAAATTTTAACTTTTATAATAGACTTGTGTGTACTTGATGGTAATAAATGATACAATAAACTAATATCTACATATATTATAGGCATTCATGTCATAACTCTTTTTTCTTTTTTTTATTTCTAGGCTACACAGTTTGTGAGTTTTTAATAATTGTTGCAAATTGCCCCAAATTTTTCCATTACATTTATTTAAAAAATTATCTAGAGGTGGACCCTTGTAGTTCAAGCTTGTGTTGTTTAATGGTTAACTGTAAATATCAATCTAGGAAATGGCAAACAGAAAATCAATTTGTTGTAGAGTATAATCTTAATACTTTGAAAATTTTTAATGACTGAAGTGAATTTCTTTGCTTTTAAAAATGGAATTTGTAAAAGTGATTCAAGAAATAATACTTTTAAACTGACTCACATCTCAAACCATACTTTAATTATAAAGCTATCTTTTAATTTTAGAAAATGTTAACATTGTAGGGGAAAGATTGGGATTTCAGTGAATCTTCTAAGTGAGTATTTCATTTAGTGAATATCAAGGCTACTTCTATATTTCATGATTACCTATTTTGATTTAAATAAGAAATAATCCGCCAAGACAAGTAGAGTTAGACATTTAAAAAAATGGGTAAATATTGAATTTACTCAACACCGTCCTCTAAATTCTGAATGCCACTCTGCACACTGTTGGAAGTGGGAGAAATCAATTGTCTGGTGCTCAGACAATTCATCTGCTGAACTGTGGGTGAAAAGAAGAGAAGCACATACACATGAAGGTATTACAACGTTTACTCTATGGCACAGGTGAAATAAACTTATGAGGAAAAGATTTGCTTCCCACACATGATGTGTCTGATACCACTCTTTAAGACCACAGAAACTAGAAATAAAAGAAATTGTAGGTTTGATGAGGAAGTCTTTCTTTCTAATTTCTTCTCAGAGAGCCTGGCTAAATATATGTCCTTTACCATAGCATGATACCTTTCAATGACTAAGTTCCCTAAGCACAGATTCTCTAGTTTTTGGAAAATTGAGCAGTCAGTTGAACTGATGGCTATTCAGGCTTATTTTTTCACTTAAAAATATTAAAAGCTAATTCATTAAAATGAAAACAAATTATATGCAGCCATGAAAAAGAATAAATTCAAAGCTTTTGCAGGGACATGGATGAAGCTGGAAACCATCATCCTCAGCAACCTAACACAGGAACAGAAAAACCAGACACCGCATATTCTCACTCATAAGTGTGAGTTGAACAGGGAAAACACATGGACACACACGGAGGGGACCATCACACACTGGGGCCTGTCGGGGGTTGGGAGGCAAGGGGAGGGAGAGCATTAGGACAAATACCTAATACATGCGGGGCTTAAAAGCTAGATGACGGGTTAAGTGCAGCAAACCACCATGGCACATTTACACCTATGTAACACACCTGCACATTCTGAACATGTATCCCAGAACTTAAAGTAAAATAAAAAAAAAAAATTATAAAGTTTACACAAAACATATACACACACACACACACACACACAAACACACACAAACGCATTACTGCAGCACCCATATGGTATTCATCTGAAGTAGAAAAAAATCATCTGTAGAAGAATATAAACTCAGCTGATAATATAAACATGCACCTGGATATATTGTGAGAAAAATTATATAACTAGAAACACTACCTTCCAATGCAATTAAAACCTAAATACGTAAAAGATGATGAACTGATATTGTAATAAAAGAGTGACAATGCCAAGCATTTCTGTGTAAATTTATATTTTACCACCACCAAAGTCACTCTATTGCTTGACACTAATTTGTCAAAAAAAAAAGCACTGAGTGGCTACAGACTTTAAATTTGAAAATTAAAATTATGTTAACAAACATGAAATTTTAAAGCTTCTCATTAATTTTGATTTTCTGTTTGCTTCAAGAGCACATTATGAAATGAATAAAATTAAGAGCTTATAGGTAAGGGCTAGAATCTTTGGAAATATTGTCTTCCCATTTAATGCATTTTAAAACATAATGATGAAGATAAAATCATGCAGACATTTATGTCCTACTACAGACAGAGCTAAATAAACAGATTATAAATATAGCAAGGTGTATTTGTCTTTTTGGTATATATGGAAACTCATCATTTCCTAACTTGTGCTTGTTAAAGTCAAAGTCTTTTCTTCTAATAATTGACAAGTAAAATCATATATATTTGTGGTGTACAACATGATTTTTTATATATGTATACATTCTGGAATAGTTAAATGAGCTATTTAACATATGCACTAACTTGCATTTTTTTTGTGGTGAGAACACAAAAGTCTACTCTCAGCAATTGTAAAATATACAATATATTGTTAATTATAGTCAGTATGATGTACTATAGATCTCTTGAACTTATTCCTCTTATCTAAATAAAATTTTGTGTCCTTTGACCACAACTGTCTACAAAGCCTCACCTCCAGTCTCTGGCAACCACCATTTTACTGTGTTTCTACAGGTTCAACTTTTTTAGATTCCATATATAAGTGAGATTATTTGGTATTTATCTTTCTGTGCCTGGCTTATTTCACTGAATATAATGCCCAGGAGGTTCATTCTGTCACAAATGACAAGATTTCCTTTTTTGAAAGGCTTAATAGCATTCCGTTGTGTATATATACCACATTTTCATTATGCATTCATCTGTCAATAGATGCTTAGTTTGTTTCCATATCTTGGCGCTTGTGAATAGTGCTACAGTGAATACGGGAGTCCAGATATCTCTACAAAGTCCTGATTTTATTTTCTTTGGGTGTATACCCAAAACAGGAATGCCTATGTCATATTACATTTCTATTGTTAATAATTTGATAAACTTCCATACTGTTTCCATAATAGCTGTAAAAATTTACATTCCAGCAACAGCATACAAGGGTTCTCTTTTCTATATACCTTCTCCAATACTTGTTTTCTTTTGACATTTTGACAATTGCCATCCAAACAGGTATGAGATGATATATCATTATGATTTTAATGTAAATTTCCCTGATGATTAGTGCTGTTGAGTACCTTTTCATATATTTGTTCTTTTAATGTGTTCTTTGGAAAAAAATGTCTACTAAGTTTCTTTGCCTAGTTTTCATTCAAGTTGTTGATATGTGGTTTGCAAATGTATTCCCCCTTTCTATAGGTTGTGTCTCCACTCTGTTATTTCACTTGCTATGCAGAAAATTTTTAATGTAATCCAATATGTCTATTTTTGCTTCTGTTGGTTGTGCTTTGGGACTCATACTCCAAACATCGTCTAATGTCATAATATTTTTCCCATTTTTCCAAATATCTTTACAGTTTTACTCTAAAGTATTTAATCAATTTTAATCTGATTTTTGTACAAGATGGGAAATGGGGGTCTAACTTTATTCTTCTGACTGTGGATATATAGCTTTCCCAGAATCATTTATTAAAGAGACTCTCCTTTTCCCATTGTGTGTTCTTGACATCTTTGTCAAAAATAAATTGACCATAAATGTGTGAGTTTATGTCTGGGCTCTCTAGTCCATTTCATTGGTCTATGTATATGCTTTTATTCAAGTATCATGCTGTTTCAATTACTACAGCTTTGTAGTAGATTTTGCAGTCAGGTAGTGTGAAGCCTTTGCTTTGTTCTTTTTGCTTAAGATTTCTCTGGTTATTGGAGGTGTCTTTAGGTTCCACATGAATTTTAGAATTCTCTTCTATTCCTGTGAAAAATATTTCACTGGAATTTGATAAGGATTTTATTAAATCTGTACACTGCTGTGGGTAGAATGGAAATTTAATAATAATTTTCCCAGTCCATGAACATAGGATATATTTCCATTTCTTTTTGTCAATTTGTCATCAATGTTTTCCAGTTTTCAGTGTGAAGATTTTTATGTCATTTAAATCAATTCCTAAATATTTTATTTTGTGTAGCTATTGTAAATGAGACTGTTTTCTTGCTTAGTTTTTTAAGTGGCTTGTTTCTAGTATATAGAAACACTATTATTTTTGTATGTTGATTTTATATGCTATGGCTTTACAGATTTTGTTTATTTCTAACAGCGTTTTTGGAGAGGCCTTTAGGGTTTTCAATGTATAAGATCATACTGTCAACAAACATACATAATTTAACCTTTTACTTTCTAACTTGGACAACTAAGAAACTTTTTTCTTTTTCTTGTCTAATTTCTTTGGCTAGAACTTCCAGTACTATGTTGAATAGAAGTGTTAAGAGTGGGCATTCTTCTGTTGTTCATAATCTTAGTGAATAAACTTTCCATTTTTTACCATCAAGTGTGATGTTAGCTATGAGTTTCTGTTTTATGGCCTTTATTGTGTTGAGGTATATTCCTTCTGTATCTAATTTATTGAGATTTTTTGTCAAAAACTGTTGCATTTTGTCAAATGTGTTTTTGCATATATTTGGATGACTTTATGATTTTTGATTTTTACTCTGTTAATGTGGTGTATCACATTTTTTGATTTGTATATGTTGATCAAGGATAATGATACTTTTAAGACTCTGTTGAATTTGGTTCACTGGTATTTTGTTGATTGTATTTGCACCTTTATTCATCATGGATACTGATGGATACTTTTCTTGTAGTGCCCTTGTCTGGCTTTGTTACAAGAATAATGTTGGCTTTATAAAATGAGGTTGAATGTATTCCCTTATCTTCAATTTTTTGGAAAAGTTTGAGAATGTTTAGTATTAGTTTTGTTTTTTTTTTTAATATTTGGTAGAACTTAGCTGTGAATCCATCAGGTTTGAGGCTTTTCTCTCTTGAGATATTATTATTGATTAAATTTCCTTATTCATTATTGCTCAGAAATTTTATTTCTTCTTAATTTGATCTTAGTAGGTTATATGTGCCTAGGAGTTTATCTATTTTTTCTTAGGTATCCAATTTGTTGGCCTATAATTTATTAACCATAATGTCTTACGATCTTTTGTATTTCTGTGGTATCAGTTTCACTATCTTCTCTTATATTTCTAATTTTATTAATTTGAGTCCTCTTGCTTTTTCCTGCTTAGTCTAGCTATGGGTTTGTTGATTTTGTTTATCTTTGTTTTTAAAAAAAAACAAGTGTTAGTTTTGTTTCCTTTTCTGTTGCTTTCTAATATCTACTCTAGTTATTTTTGCTGTGATCTTTATTATGTCCTTTATTGTACTAACATTTGGCTTAGTTTGTTCTTCATTTTCTAGTTCCTTGAGATTTAACATAAAGTTATTTGGTATATTTCTTTCCTTTCTATCTACTTTTTAAAAAATGTAGTATATTGCTCCAAATTTCTATCTTAGAACTGCTTTTGCTGCATCTCATAATTTTTGGCATGTTGTGTTTCTATTTTCATTTGTCCTATTTTTAAAAATTTCACTTTTAATTTATTCTTTGACTTGTCAGTTGTTTATGAGCACGTGGTGTAATTTCCACACATTAGTGAATTTTCTTGAATTCACTCTATTTTCATTTCTAGTTCATACCATTGTGGTTGGAAAAAAAATACTTGGTATCATCTCATTCATCTGAATTTAGAAAGGCTTGCTTTGTGGCCTAACATATGATCTATCCTGAATAATGTTCTGTCAGCACTTGCAGAGAGTATTCTACTGCTCTTGAATGGAATGTTCTGTATATGTCTGTTAGGTCTACTTGGGCCAAAGTGTAGCTCAAGTCCACAGTTTCCTTTCTGATTTTCTCTCTCAATAATCTGACTATTGTTGAAAGTGGATTGTTGAAGTTGCCTACTAATATTATACTGCAGTTTAGCTCTTCTTTCAGATCTATTAATATTTGGCTTACGTTGTTAGGTCCTCTGATATCAGGTGCATATAGATTTCCAGTTGTTATATATTCTTGATGGATTGATTTCATTATAATTATATAATTATCCTTTTTATCTAATTTTACAGTTTTTGATGTAAAGTCGATTTTATCTAAGTATAAAACTACCTTTGCTCTCTTTTGGTTTCCATTTACATGAAATATCTCTGTACAAACCTTTATTTTCAATCTGTGTGTGTCCTTAAAGGTAAATTGAATCACTTATAGGCAGCATATAGTTGGGTCTTGTTTATTTATCTATTCAGCCACTCTATGTCTTTATATTTGAGAATTTAATCCATTTACATTCATGGTAATTATTGATAGAAAGGATTTACTACTGTTGTTTTTTATATTTGTTTTCTGTTTGCTTTGTAGATCCTTTGTTCTTCTTTCCTCTCTTGTCTTCCTTTGTTGTTAGATAATCATCTCTAGTGGTTTGCTGTGGTATTTTCCTTCATTTTAAATATGTCACCTTTTTTCCTGTTGGCCTGTAAGATATCTTCACTGTTATCTTTACTGGAATTTCCTTATATGTGATTTGCTTCATTGTTATATTTATTGGAATTTCCTTATATGAAGTTCACTGTTATCTTTATTGGAATTTCCTCATATGCGATTTGCTTCATTGTTATATTTATTGGAATTTCCTTATATGAAGTTCACTGTTATCTTTATTGGAATTTCCTCATATGCGATTTGCTTCACTGTTATCTTTATTGGAATTTCCTTGTATGAAGTTCACTATTATCTTTGTTGGAATTTCCTTATATGTGATTTCCTTCTTTTCTCTTGCTGCTTTCAAGATTTTCTCTTAGGCTTTGATTTTTGACAGTGTGATGTAATAACCTGTCCAGTAATCCTATTTAGATTAAATTTGATTAACGACCTTTGACCTTCTTGTATCAGGATATTTATATATTCCTCCAGATTTGAAAATTTTATGCTATTGTTTATTTAAATAATCTTTCTGGCCTCTTGCTTTTGTCTTCTTTTTCTTTAACACCTATAATTTGAATATTTGTTCTTTTTATGGTGTTCCATAAACTTTTTTTTTCATTTCTTTTATTTTTTTCCTCTTTTTGCCTCTGCATTTCAGTGTTTTCACATCAGCAGATTCTTTCTTCTGCTTGATGCATTCTGCTGTAGATACCCTATATTCTGTTTCTAATTTCATTGTATTTTTCAGTTTCAGAATTTTAATTTTATAAAAATGAATTTTATCAGTCTATTAAATATCTAATGTTGTTTATATATTGTTTTTCTGAGTTTGTTGAATTTTTTTTTCTGAAGTTTGCTGAGCTTCCTAAAACAATAATTTTGAATTCTTGACAGTTTGCATATCTCTGTTTATTTGGAATTAGCTCCTAGGAAATCAGTGTGTTCTTTTGGTGGTGTTATGTCACTTTTTTTTTCACATTTCTTGTTGCCCTACTTTGAAGCCTGTCCATTTGGTGAAGAAGTCACCTCTCTTTTAGACTTTAAAGACCAGTTTTTCTGTGGAAAGACTTTCTCTATGGGGGCTCTGAGGGCACGTGCTGGCTGGGGTCCAGTGGTTCTGGCACCAGCAAAGATACAGCTCTGTCAGTTGAGGTCAGTGTTGACAAAGATTGCTAGGATCCTCAATGGCCAATGCTGTGGATGTCTATAGTGGTAGTGAATGTTGTTGAGGTCTTTGGTGATGGGTGCTATGGTCCCTCCAATCTCATTGTCTTCCACCATGGAAGTTGTAATTAAGGGGATTCCTCCTGGTGCTGGGTCTCGCTTGTGGACTCACAGTGGTGGTGGCACCAATGTTTGACGAGTGGCACCTGTGAAGCAGCCATGGTGCTGAGGTCTAAAGCACAGGCACCTGTGGAAGGACTTTGGCTCTGGGGTACAGGGTGATAATGACACTGTTGCCCAGAGTACAGGCATCTGGGTAATAGTGCCATTGGTGACAGTATGCAAGGTGCTTGAGGCAGCAAAGGGCCATGAATGGGAGCATAGACATGCAGAGAGTTATAGGGGCTTTAGGCTTTGGGTGGGGCCTAGTCTTCTAAGATGTTGGCTCTGGTATCTTAAACAAAGGCAGGCACAGGGCAGGCACAGTGCATACACAGTTGTTGGGTCTGGAGTGCAGGCGTTTCTGACACTCTTGGGTCTGGAGTGTAGGCGTCTCAATAGCGGCTGCTTCTTGGGGAGGGAGGAGTATTTAGCCTTGTCTCTTTCTCTGGGGTTCCTTGGCAGAAATGGCTGTCGATTGCTTCTTGGAAAAGAAAGCTAGTGTCCTCTGTGTCTTCTGTGGTGAAGGCTGCTGGGAATCATAGCTGATATTTTTAGTCCCTGACTTTCTTCTTTGTTCCTAGCCATCTCTTGGTATCTCAAGTATGTCAGTCTCATCAGTGATTTTTCTATGTTGATATTCTCCATTTTTTTTTTTTTTTTTGCCCCACTGTGTTGCTGCAGATAATCTGATGGGCTCTTAAGCCTTCTCAGGGCTATTTTATTTTCTGAATGGTTGTCTATATTTGTGAGTGAGGGGGGCGGGGGCTGAAGGCTTTACTCTGCTATCTTATCTTGGTGACGTCACTGCCTCAAGGTCTTTTTTGACCTTGATGCAAAGGGAACATGGTAAGTATAGTTGAGCAGCATTTTTATTTAAATATACACAATATTAACCTTCTAAATTAAATTACTGGGCAATTTCTCCCTTAAATTCTGTAACGATTAATTTTATGTGTCAATTTGACCAGGCACATGGGGCCCAATTAAGTGTCATGTCTGCGTGTGTCTTTGAGGATATTTCAGAACAAGATTAGCATTTGAATCAATGAACTCAGCAATGTAGATTGCTCCTTCTAATGTGGGTGTGCATCATCCACTGAGAACCTGGATAGAACAAAAGTTGGAGGAAGGAGGAATTTGCCCCTTTTGCTTCCTGTCTGCATGCTCGAGCTGGGATATCTCACCACAAGTTCTCTGGCCCTTGGATTAGTATTTACACCAGTGGCTCCCCTGGATCTCAGACATTTGGACTCAGACTGAATGATACCCCTGGCTTTTTGGGGTCCTGCAGATCATGAGACTTCTCAGCTTCCGTAATTACATAAGCCAATTCCTTTTAATAAGCCTCTCTCTCTCCTTCTCTCCCTCTCTCCTCTACTGGTTCTGTTTCTCTGAAAATCTTGACAAATACAAATTCTTTAGAGACATGGAAAAGTTAAAAGATAGAAAGATGCTAACAATTACCTTTTTATATCTTTTTTGTAGCCTTGTCCAAATGAGTGGCACCAATTTACGGTCATCTCTCCATCTTTTAACACATAGGAAAAGGTAATTGACAAAGATGAGTTGTCATAAATATAGAATATTATGTGGTTATATGAAATGGAATCACCAATATCCTAGAATTGTTTGTCCTTAACCATCTAATAATTAACTAGACTGTAATCCACTCAGCATTTAAATTATATTAACATGACAATTTTTCTTTATCTTTGTTTTTTTCCCCTGTCTACCTAAGTTATTATTTCTTCAGTTAAATGTATGTTAACACCAATAATTTGCCAGAGGCTCTACTAGAATTCTGAAAGTAGGAAAATCAAAGGAAAAATAACAGTATTAAAAAAAGATAGTTATTAAGTAGGTCACAATGTAGTGGGGAGCAATAGAAAAGTAAACCTACAAATAAATACAGAATAATACAGTTATAATACTGTATTATAGTTATAATAGAGACATATAAATATAAAATACAGTTATAATAGAGATATATCAAAAATACTAGAAGCTAGGAAGTTTTACTGGGCAGGAGCTAATCTATAAGATGCAAAGAAAAAATTTCTATGCAAAAATAGGAGAAACGTCAAAATATAAATATAGAAAACTATGGAAAATTCAAAAAATTATATACTAATTTGGGATGGTTTAATATACAGGGCTTCTGGGGAACTTAGAATATGTGTTGAAAGATTATACATGTGCTGAGAAGAGTGTTGTATTCCATAGACATGGAGAATTCATTGAAATTTTACATTATCAAATAGAATAACACCTCTGATAATAGTGCAGACAATGAACTAGAAAAGAGAGGCCATCTCGGAGACTGAGACATTTGGTTGCCTGAAAGGATATAATCTTATCTGAGAGCACAGTAGTAAAAATAGAGGGAAAAGAGATAAATTTGAGAGAAACTTCAAAATTAAATTGTGCCGAAGATGGTTTATAGGGAAGGTACAAAAAGGGAAAACAATACTACTCTGATAGTTTATTTGGTGAATGGTGCATGATAATTCAATTAGACATCAGAAACATAGGTGAAGAGCATGTTTGAAATGGAAAAAAGAAATTGGCTGTGGATATCTTGTATCTGGGTTGCTTGAGTGGTAGCTACACAGATACATCTGACTATGGGAAGATGGTAACTTTTTCTTTTTCCTCCTATTGTCTCTTTGTGTCTGAATGAGTCTACTATAATTTTGATCTCGGTTGCATGCTAAAAAAATTCATATTGAAAAGCTCTACTAAATTCTTCAGTCTTCAAAACTTTCTAATGCCCACAGCCACTACCACTGTATGACTGTATTTCCAATTTCAAATTGATCAGTGGCAAGCACTGTTCTTGGCACTAGCCTCTGTGAGAACATGGATGACTAAATCCTGTGTGTGTGAGATTGGCTGCTACTGAACAAAATTGTTTTGAAACATAAAATTGCAAGTACACATTTGGCTTCTTATAAGATGTTTAAGTGTAAAATAAGTTTCTATGCTAGAGGTATTATGTAAATAATAACCCAAAAATGCTGGGTTCATAGGAAATCTTACCATGATTTCCATTCATTACGAATCCTCTAATAATTAAAATACTGATGATAGGGAGGCTAAGATTTCCATTCATTACAAATCCTCTAAAAATTAAAATACTGATGATATGGAGGCAAAAGATGTGGTAAGCATTTCTCTCAAAACAATTCCACCAAAGAAAATGAATCCTGGTAATTCAGGGCCTGCTCTGACGCCTGCTCCACCCTAGTAACCAACCACATGTTTTATGTTTCACTCCTGGAAGAAATCAGCTTCAAGATGAACCACTGAGTCAGAAAGCTCCTCTTAGCCAGGTGGAAAATTACCTGTGTTTTGAGTCAGATCTCTTGAGGTTCAGAGAGTCATTTTTGTCTGCGCTGAGTTAGAATGGATCATTTTCGAGCCTCGTTTGTTTTGCGAATTGAGAAAGACAGCCTCCCTAGAGTTAAAATTATTTGTATTCATGGAGATGGGGGAAAATGATGGGGTTGTCCTTACAAGAGGTCAAAGAGCTATTCAACTTAGTGCTTGGTATTTAAACTCTTGGCTCTATAATCCTAGAAATAAATTCTGCAGGAATACACTCTGCCCTAAGTTTATTTTTTTTTTTTAGCACTTCTGGCAATGATTTCCTAGTCACTAAAGTAATATGGACAAATTGAAGCACAAGGTATTATTTACTTGTTATAACTTATCTATACCCTTTTATCAAGATAATACCAAGGAATCAGAATTGAACAAAATTTATTTTTATGTTTTAATTTTACTTGATTACTGAATCTATTTGGAGTTCATGTTTAGCTTTATAAAATGTCCCACGTCTGAAAAACAATAGCATTAACTTAGGCCAAAAGTATTTAGCAATAAAAATGCAAATTTTAACAGCTACATTCTTTAGGTAAGGAAGGTTGTGAAACAATCCTTTTAGGAAAATAAAAACAACCAATTGAACAGGTGAGTAGGAGTACAAAAATATTATGGGGAGACTTGGTTTGGGATTGGAGGCCTGAAGATCTGAGGAAATTAAGGTCACTACCACCCTACCAAGAAAGGAAAGTGGAAGAAACTTAGAAAACCTCTCTCATAATAACCCTAAAACACAAAATTCAAAAATACACGAAAAATATAATGCTTGTCAAGTTAACCCAATCAATAGCCAAAAATGTACCCACTCCTGATAAAATAAATTTTATAAAATAGATTGACAGAAATTTTAAAATAAATTGATTTAAATTGCTAAAAATGTTAAGTGAAGGACTATCATAAATTAAAAGTGATCAATACTATAGTCAACAACATAGACTAATCTCACAGACACAAGGTTGAGTGGAAGAAACCACACAGAGTACATAATGTATGATTCCAGTTATATAAAGTACAAAAATATGCACAACAAATTTATGGTTTAAGAAGTCGGGAAACACCTTTGGGAATGTAGTGACTGAGAGAGTACTCAGAGGGGCTTTTGGAAAGGCTGGTAGTGCTCTATTTCATGATGTGGGTGCTGCTTATACGGGTGTATTCATGTGGAAAAGTTTTTGTAGTGTAAAAAGATAATGCATAATATTCTTTACTTGAAATGCATTATAATTAAAATATAAACACTAAATACATTTTTAAATATTAGAACTCTCTTTCTACTAAGCATGTCCAATAGGAGAATACAAGTATGTTGAATTCATGCATTGCTTTTTGGGTTCATTTTATAGCTAACTGTTAAAGTAAGGATTGCTAAATTAAAAATAGAAATTAAACTAAACTGACACTAAAAGTAAAAATATTAAAATACTATGAATGCAGTGGAAATACAAATAAATAAAACATTTTTAAAACATAGCTTACAGTTATTGGTGTTTACCATCAGTTTTGTCCATATTGGTCTCATTAGTGAGCTTAAATCTTCTTCCCCATTTTCTTCTTATTGAAAAATATGCCCCCTATTGTTCACTATTTGTGCCTTTACACCTGTTTTTCCTTCCTTCCAGCCTGCACCTACTCAAATTTTTAATCTTAATAAATTCCTTACTTAAAGACTAAGTTTAAATGGTAAGACTCTGGGAAGACTTATCAGCTAGAGTAAACTGGAAATTCCAATACTCCTTATCAGATATGTAAGATCATTAGAACAGTTATATACTCAGGCTTGGGAGAGATACTGACTAGGCTGTAATATTTTTCCCACTACTTCCCAGTTTTATGATATCAATGATTCACTTAACCATTTGATGCCTTAGTTTTCTCATCAAGAAATGAGAATAACATATAATCATCTTATATGGGTTATTTTAAAGACTAAATGAATTAAAACAGAAATTTGTACGATGGTATCAGGCACATACTGAGTGTTCAATAAATCTTAACCATTATTTTTGAAGGTAGTTTTTTATGTTCCATAATTTGGCCACTGCCACATTCCCTAAGATTTCCAATTTTGTCTTTACTATATCCTGTAAGCTTCATATGTTGAAGCCTGGCATACATGTGATTCTCCATACTGTTTCATGATATTAATAGAATCTTGTAATTAGTCAGCTGTTGAATTATAGATATGTTGTAATGATTGTGAGTCATTCTACATATTTGAGGATTCATAAAATATTAACAATTCCTCCCATTATGTTCAGCATAATTTTCATAGTATTTGTATTTGTAAATATTTTTAATGTTATATCAAACAGATAAATACTCACCTTTCTGGAGCTCTGCTAGCAGTCTGTGGGCTAACTTGTGTGTGTATATCACAAAGAATGAGATATATAAAGAAAATGAAAAAAGAAGAGAACCTTCCAAACACCAAGCAAATCACATTTCTAGAATGAGATGTCACTGGTCTGAGAGGCTTAGACTAAATTCTCGGTTTGCATCTTCCTTTAAGTTTCACTTAACTTCACTTTCTCCCTAGCTGGCCACAGGCATATGCTTCACATATATAATATTTGTCAATATTTATACTAGGATTCCATGAAATATTAGACCAAGACCAGGCCAAGTGGCTCATACCTGTAATCCCAGCATTTTGGGAGGCTGAGGTGGGAGGATCACTTGAGGTCAGGAGTTCGAGACCAGTTTGGCCAACATGGTGAAACCCCATCTCTACAAAAAATACAAAAATAGCTGAACCTGGTGGCACACAACTGTAATCCCAGCTACTTAGAAGGCTGAGGCAGGAGAGTCACCTGAACCTGGGAGGTGGAGGTTGCAATGAGCTGAGACCATGCCATTGCACTCCAGCCTGGGCCGACAGAGCGAGACTTCATCTCAAAAAAAAAAAAAAAGTTTAGATCTATTCAGGATCAAGTAAGAAACTTCACTTTCAAGAGCAAAAGATGGTTTTGGGAGGTTGATTATAAGACCTAAACAATGTATTAGAGACTGAAAATCAGAACAAGAAAGGGAAATTCTTCTTCCCTCTCTGGCTTTTGCCTTCTTGTTATTCTTGGCATCATTCTTCTCTCTCTGTGTGCCAACTATTTTTTAATTTGGTCCACACGGCTGAAAGTGATCACTCAAAGCTCTTATTTACAACTCCTTCATTACAATAGAGTTGGGATTTCTTAATTCAATTTTAAGTTCCCAGTTGAGGGGTGCTTATTGTCATAGACTACTTAGGTTTTAAACTCAGCCAATCAGCTATAGCCAAGGAGGCAGAGTTGTACTAAAAGAGTGAGGCTGGATTCACACACATACACACAAACAGAAAATATGGGTCCAGTGTTGGTGATAACAGTGAAAGAAAAATCTCATGTATAGTCAGTTAAATTTTGTGTCATCCCAAAATTTTTGTCTACTCATAACCCCAGAATGTGATTTTATTTGGAAATTTGGTCTTTGTAAATGTAATTATAAGCATCAAGATAAAATCGTACCGAATTAGAGTTGGCTCAGAACTCAACCTAAGTGCCATTTTAAGACAGAAAGGACACAAAAGACATGGAATAGACAGTGATATGAAAATGTAGACAGAGACTGGAGTGATGTATCTATAAGCCAAGGAATTTCAAGGACTGTGGACAAACACCGGAAGCTAGGAGAGAGGCATGGGACAGTTTTTCCCTCAGAGCCTGAATAGCAAAAAGTCTTATGGTAAAATGGTAACATTTTGATGGAGTGGAATTATGACAGAAGCAACCAACCCTGCTGACTCCTTGATTTCGGACTTCTGGCTTCCTGAATTGTGAGAGACTCGAATCCTATTTTTCAAGCCACCAACTTTGTAGTAGTTTATTACTGCAGCCCAAAAAAACTAATAGACCAAGCAAGGGGAAAAGGATGGAAGGAAACCAATTGAAAAGCTCCTTTTACCACTTAGAGTTTCCCTTTCTGTGGACTCCTCTGTTGAACAACACACTCTGTATTTCATTTTAACCAGAGACGTTATTTACTTCTAAAGTCCAACTTACATTACATTGATTTATAAGTATAAAGGAATTGTAAGCATCTTAGCAAAGAGTGATGTAATAATAGCTAACTATTACTGCTCACAAATGGTGAAAAAGTAAAAGATAGTTAATCTTTATTCATGGGTTTTTTTTCTGATTTAAGTGTAACTAAGTGGTAATATTTCTTCACTTTAAGGACTAAATGTGCTCACAGTCCTTACTTAAGCATTCATTACTAGGCCTCAAGGTCCTTGCATCATCTGAAATTGATTCAGTAAAGAGGTGACTAAAATGAAGTGGTTGAGCTGATCCTTAACTATTCTTATAGCCATTAAATACCTTTACAAATAGATTTTTAATGACAAATTTGCAAAATTATGATTGAATTACTACTGAACAAATGAGGACAAATTATCGTCTCAGCCAATATTTGAGTAAGCTAAGGAGGATTTCAGCCAATGTGTCTCGGCTGAAGTTCAGAACCTAGAATAACATAAATTGTGTATGTGTGTGCATGTGTGTATGTGTCTTATAAACAATCTTCATTCAATATTATGGGAATAAAAATGAAAATGAAAATATGCCAGCATTTTATTTTTACAGTAGAAACTATGTTGACCTTTCATTCATGGCTTAATCATGTCTCAAGTGTCCTATGAAGAGAAAATAAAGCAGTAACATCTTTCTTATCTGAAGGTCACTTATCCTGTATATTCAGCAATCCAGAGCATCAATGAGAACTTAATAATCAAGAAAGGCCTATAATAACACAAGGAGATGTGATATGTGTACATCTTTTGATTTGACTTCATTTAACCTAACACTTGATTTGACTATTCACCAAGCGTATTAGTCCATTTTCACACTGCTGATAAAGACATACCCAAGGCTGGTCAATTTACAAAAGAAAGAGGTTTAATAACTCACAGTTCCAAGTGGCTGGGTAGGACTCACAATCATGGTGGAAGGTGAAAGTCACATCTCACATGGTGGCAGACAAGAGAAAAGAACTTCTGCAGGGAAACTCCCCTTTATAAAACCATCAGATCTTATGAGACTTACTCACTATCAGGAGAATAGCATGGGAAAGACCCACCCCCATGATTCAATTACCTACCACCAGGTCCCTCCCACAACACATGGGAATTGTGGGAACTACAATCCAAGATGAGATTTGGGTGGGGACACAGCCAAATGACATCACCAAGGAAGCACTTATTTAGCTCAGTATTTTCTACTGTGTTTGTCATAATTTCAAAAAGACCACCTATCTTTCTAATCATGAATGCACTAAAATTAGAAGTAGAAAATTTTAGAATTAGTAACAGTGATAACAGATGGAAAAACTTTCCCATAGACTAGAAATAAAGCACTATATTTATTAAACATTCTGGTCATCAACATCAAGGGACTGAGGGCCAATGCAACAGAACCTTTGATTGATTGTTGTTATTGTTTTTATGAAGCATTCATAAAAGTTTCACAATGAAGGACAAGGATAAAATTTGTTTGCTGGAAACTCAAGTAGGATCTCTTATGTGTGAAGCAGATGTAGATTTGTATCATGCATTTGATTAAATAAGTCCAGAAATGAATTTTCCAGATGGGATAAGAACCCAATGGTGGGTGATTCATGCAAAGCGTGCTTTGGAAGCCTTGTGTTATGAAAGAACAAACCTGAACACCTGTGAAATAACTATGTTCTCTAGATATGAAAGTGATATATGTGGGAAGATAACCTTGCAACCAAGAATCCCAAAGTACTAAAGGAAATGCAACACAGTGAAAGGGAAACCCAAGCTGAACAAAATAAAGAATTATAACTCAGGACATACAGTGAAGTAGAACAATCTGAAAAGAACTTTAAAAAATCAATTTAATGTCTGCTATAGAGTGAAGAAGTGAAAGCAATCAAATCAAGAATAAAATGTTATGATGCAGAAATTGTTATTAAGAAATATTTAAATCGATTTACTACCTAGCTTACTGAAGAAAGATGAGAAGTAAAATAGTGAGCTGTAAAATCAATAAGAATTTCCTAGAGTACAGAAAAAGGTAATTAAAAAAATACAAAATATAAAACAAACTTAAAATACATTAAGGATAGTAGTTTCGTAATGTAAGTAAAGTTGGAAATAATAATAAAAGTTGAAAGCCTAAGGGTTCAACTAGAGGAGAATTTGTTTTCAAGTTCACACAAATAGTTATCCCCAGGTCTCAGAAAATTCACTTTCAAGTCCACTCATGTGACTGTGGTAATCTTCAGGTGCTCACTATTTGCCAGAAACATCATTTCCTGCCATGTAGTTCTGTAGATAGGGAAGTTCACAATATGACAGCTGGCTTCCCTCAGAATGAACAAACAAGAGAGCTAGACAGAGTGAGCAAGACAAAGGTAAAGTCTCTTTGTAACCTAATCTCAGAAGTGGCATCTATAGCTTCCCAATGATTAATCGTTTGAAGGGAGTGGCTACCTTCCTCCTTCCTCATGCACTCACAGGAAGGGAAATTTTTATAAGGACATAAATACCACGAGGCAGAAATCTTTGGGGGCTATTTTGGAGACTTTTTACCACAATCTTAAAGAGAAAATAAAAGTTAAAAATATGAATTATTTATGATTAAATGACAACAAAGGCTTCACATATCTAAATTTGTGGGATACACACAAAGATGTAATAGAGAAATTTTATTTTAAAATGTGGAAAATTAATACTGAATGGGCAAAAGCTGGACACGTTCCCTTTGAAAACCAGCACAAGACAAGGATGCCCTCTCTCACCACTCCTATTCAACATACTATTGGAAGTTCTGGCCATGGCAATCAGGCAAGAGAAAGAAATAAAGCATATTCAAACAGGAAGAGAGAAAGTCAAATTGTCTCTGTTTGCAGATGACATGATTGTATATTTAGAAAACCCCATCATCTCAGCCCAAAAACTCCTTAAGCTGATAAGCAACTTCAGCAAAGTCTTAGGATACAAAATCAATGTGGCAAAAGTCACAAAGATTCCTATACACCAACAACAGACAAACAGAGAGCCAGTCATGAGTTAACTCCCATTCACAATTGCTACAAAGAGAATAAAATACTTAGGAATACAACTTACAAGGGATGTAAAGGACCTCTTCAAGGATAATTAGTAAACACTGCTCAAGGAAATAAAAGAGGACACAAACAAATGGAAAAACATTCCATGTTCATGGATTGGAAGAATCTATATCATGAAAATGTCCATACCACCCAAAGTAATTTATAGATTCAATGCTATTCCCATCAAGCTACCATTGACTTTCTTTGCAGAATTAGAAAAACTACTTTAAATTTCATATGGAAAAAAAAGAGCCCGTAGAGCCAAGACAATCCTAAGCAAAAAGAACAAAGCTGGAGGCATCACGCTACCTGACTTCAAACTATACTACATGGCTACAGTAACCAAAACAGCATGGTACTGGTACCAAAACAGAAATATAGACCAATAGAAGAGAACAGAAACATCAGAAATAAGACCACACATCTATAACCATCTGATCTTTGACAAACCTGACAAAAACAAAAAGTGGGGAAAGCATTCCCTATTTAATAAATGGTGTTGAAAACACTGGCTAGCCATATGCAGAAAACTGAAACTGGACCTCTTCCTTACACTTTATACAAAAATTAACTCAAGATGGATTAGTAACCACTGCTCAAGGAAATAAGAGAGGACATTACTTAAATGTAAAACCCAAAACCATAAAAACCCTAGAAGAAAACCTAGGCAATACCATTCTGGACATAGGCATGGGCAAAGACTTCATGACTAAAACACCAACAGCAATTGTGACAAAAGCCAAAATTAACAAATGGAATCTAATCAAATTAAAGAGCTTCTGCATAGCAAAGGAAACCATCATCAGAGTGAACAGGCAACCTACAAAATGGGAGAAAATTTTTCCAAGCTACCCATCTGACAAAGATCTAATATATAGAATCTACAAGGTACTTAAACAAATTTATGAGAAAAAAAAAACAAAAAATCCCATCAAAAATTAGGCAAAGGATATGAACAGACAGTTCTCAAAAGAAGATATTTATGTGGCCAACAAACATATGAAAAAAAGCTCATCATCACTGGTCATTAGAGCAATGCAAATCAAAACCACAATGACATACCATCTTGCGCCAGTTAGAATGGCAATTATTAAAAAGTCAGAAAACAACAGATGCTGGTGAGGCTGTGGAGAAATAGGAATTCTTTTACACTGTTGGTGGGAGTGTAAATTAGTTCAACCATTGTGGAAGACAGTGTGGTGATTCCTCAAGGATCTAGAACCAGAAGTACCATTTGGCCCAGCAATCCCATTACTGGCAATATACCCAAAGGATTATAAATCATTCTGCTATAAAGGCACATGCACACATATGTTTATTGCAGCACTATTTACAATAGCAAAGGCTTGGAACTAACCCAAATTCTCATCAATGATAGACTAGATAAAGAAAATGTGGCACATATACACCATGGAATATTATGCAGCCCTAAAAAAGAATGAGTTAATGTCCTTTGCAGGGACATGGATGAAGCTGAAAGCCACCATTCTCAACAAACTAACACAGGAAGAGAAAACCAAACACCGCATGTTCTCACTTATAAGTGAGAGTTAAACAATGGGAACATGTGGACACAGGGAGGGGAACATCACACACAGGGTCCTGTTGGAGGGTTTGGGGGCAAGGGGAGGGAGAGCATTAGGACAAATACCTAATGCATGCCGAGCTTAAAACCTAGATGACGGGTTCATAGGTGCAGCAAACCACATGGCATGTATATACCTATGTAACAAACCTGCACGTTCAGCACACGTATACCAGAGCTTAAAGTAAAATTTTTTAAAAATGTGGAAAATTAAAATAAATCAGCTAAATGTTATACTCCAGAAGGTAGGAAAAATAAAGATAAGTTGAGGAGAAAACTAAATATAGAAATAGAAATTAATGAAATAAGGAAATATTCATCAATGAAACAGTGATTTGGAAGATGGATTTGTCAATAAATGAAGTTGAGGAACTTGCGTAAAAATCTCTTCATCCATACTCCTTTCAATATCCCAAGAAGAATTCTAAATACAAAAGATATGTACATTAAAATGGTTACATTTTTAAAACCCAGAAGAAAACATTGGGATTACTTTTATAATCTCCGAGTAAGGTCTTTCTAAATTATGACACATAATATAGAAATCATATCAAAATTAAATATAATATATTCGATTACTTTAAAAATAGCAAATTATAGTAGTAATAATAATACAAAAATTATAATCTAGGAAAAATGCCTTAACTCATCATAGAGAAGACTAATCTACCTATACATAAAGAAAAAGGTTACCCCCAAAATGGGTAATGTATATAAACATTCATTTCAAAAAGAAATTCAAACTGCTTTTAATGATATGAAATATTCCTATTCCTAATATAATTCATAAATAAGAAATACAATTAAAGTGTGTATAGGTGTGTATATACATACATATATGTACATATGTGTCTGTGTGTGTGTATGTATATACGTATGTAATCAGCAAAAATATGAAAGTGTGGAAGCATAATCCAAACGCCACTGAAGAGCTTGCTTGTAAATGCTTTCAAACTGGGCATGTGCCTTTAACCCAGGATTCTACTTCTAGTAAATTACTCTACAGATATATTCACATATATGTTAAATAATTTATACCCTAGGTTAATTATTGCAACATTCTTAGGAGAGCAAGAGTTTGGAAACAATCTAAATGAAAAAGGTATGTCATTAAATAAATTATGTTACATACATTATAACCTACTACTATTTGTACCCACATATTCTGCCTTCTTTTCTGTCATTTTATAAATTGTACATGTAAAGTCAACTCATCAATTTGTGCATTATATCAAATCATTTACTTCCTGCATCATAATATTTTACTGTCAACATACTGGCAAATTAAAAAGAAAAACCCTTGTGACCTCCATAGCTTCTCCAGCTAATGGTACTTTTTTCTGAATTATTTTTATATGAATTGTCCACTACACTTAAAAATACCACCAACTTAGTGGCTTAAAACAAAACAAATTGATTATTTCACAATGTCTATGGGTTAGGAACTAACTGGTTCCTCTGCTTGGAATCTTTGTGGGTTAAAATCAAGATGTCAGTTGAGACTATGATTTCATATAAGGAAGGGACTCATCAGGATCCTCTTTCAAGCTCACTACTTCCTGTCAGAATTCCTTTCCATGTAGTTGTAGGACTCATTTTCTTGCTAGCTGGTTGGAAGTCCCTCTAACCTCCAAGAAGAGTACTTCTCACAGACCCTCTCCTTACATGTCAGTTTACTTTTTCTTCAAAGCAAGGAGAAGGATTTTTCTCACAATTTGAATCTCTGATTTCGGGAGGGGCCTCATCCATTTTAAAGATAACTTGACTACACCAGGGCCACCTGGATAATCTCCTTTTTGATGAACTCAAAGTATGTTGACTTGGTACCATGATTACATATGCAAAATCCTTTCACCTTTTTCATCTAAACTAATCTAATCTAATTTCAGAAGTGAAATCCATCGTGTTCACACTTCCCTCCACAATCGACAAGAAGAGATGACACAGAACGGGTACACCACCTAGGCAAAATAATCAGTCATCTCAGAATTCTGCCTACCATAACTTTCATATAAAACACCTTGAAAGAGTGATCTATAGTTTATCACATTGTCTCCTAGCCTTGAGCCCCTCTAAACAGGCTGTCATCAATACCATTTCATTAAACTAATTATTATAAAAGTTATTAATTATATCCATGCTCCTAGTTCTGTGGGTCAATTGAGGCCTCATTTTACTTAACTTATCTGCAGCATTTAATCATGTTGTCCTTCTTGATTTGGCTTCAAGACAGCACATTCTCAGGGTTTTTTTTCTACATCAGGATCTTCTCCTCCTCATCCTTTTTAGTTTGTTCTTCTTCCTCTCAGAGAAGCTCTTAAATGTTACAGTGCCTCAGGCCCTAGCTGTTCTATTCTGCACTTATATGCTTAAATACCTTATCTGATGTCACGGTTTTAAAAAATCTTTATATGCTAATGACTCCCAAATATATGCTCAGACCTTAGACCTTTCTCTTGAAATTCAGATTCTTTCATCTTGGTATTGCTTACTATCTCCATTTAGATTTTTGCCTACAATGCATTAAATTATAAACTGACAAAGAATAATATTCTGATCATTCTAGTTCCTAAATAAGAATTTTCTTTTCCTCAACTCAGTTAATTTTAGTTTCATTATTCAAATTACTCAGATTCAACCCATGAAATCATTGACCTTTCTTTTTCTCCCATACTATGTACAATACATTGACAGATGCTATTGGCTACATTTTAAAATATGTAGTCTGGGTCCAATGACATTTCAACATTTACACTACACATATGGGTGAGAAAAAAGATAATATTATTTAAGGAGATTATAAATCAATCAAAAATACTAATTCTTATCAAATAACCCTCCTGTTTAAAACTCTTCAGTGAATCACATTGACTTTAGATGAAAAATACAATAATTTTGCATGGCCTGTTATAAATAAATTTTAGGTGCCACAGAAGAAATAGCACTGGAACGTAAATTTAATTTTCTCAGCAAGGCAATTTTTACTTCTATAGAAGGGTGCAACTCACAGATGGAGCAATGGCGAGAGCATACAGAACAAAGGAGAGCAGGGGTTTTTATTATCTCTTAACACAGCTTGTCCCTGTTACTATGTCCTCCCTCCATTGGCTGGGGTTGGACCACACAATCTAAGCTGAACACGGTTTGCTAACTTGAAAAGTACAGGAATGCAGTTACACTGGTGGGAAGGTGGGAAGATCAGTTTTGGTGGGGAAAAGCTGCTACAGGAGGGAGGGAGGTGATGATTTCTTGGCGGGCATGCCTGAGAACAGCAGGGAAGGAGGGGCTGACAGATTGTCAGGCAAGATTATTTTAGACAAAGAACAGGGAAATAAGACTTCAGGACAGACAGTACAAGGAAGTGAAGACCTTTTGGAGAAGAACACCTTGTTTGTAACAAAGTGAAACTCTTTTAAGAGGAACTGTCTAAACTACCTGTTTGTAACAACACCCCTACTGGGTTCCTGTCTTTCTAGCTTTCTCTCTAGATACATAATTTACATCTTACACTTAATCACATTTAATTACTCATATTTACTTGAGTATGACATATTTTCTTGACTTGAAATATTATTATCCTAATTCACCTTTTCTACCTGAATGCCAATATTTTTTCAGTATTCTGCTTATTCGTCACAAATAGAACCATGGGTCATGCAAATATATGAGCTTTCTAATGCATTCAATGCCAAAATTAAGTAGAAAAAAAAGAAAGCTCATATCTATTTATGATAACTACCTCAAAATATTGAAATAGGTCCTCATTCTCATTGGACTTTTATAATTAATTGAGGAATAACATTTCAAAAATGCCATGAAGGTTAACCAGAATCCTTCCAGAACTTATTTTGTATTCTTATATTTAAAATTCTTCCTCCTAAAGATATTATCAAAAACCATTAATACAGTTATTATTGCCACCATCAACTACATAAATGGAGGCATTCAATTATTAGCAGTCTTTTCTTAGAGAAGATAAATTCATTCGTGGTGGGCAAAGAAACAGTTCTTCCAAAGATGTCCATATTGTAATCCCTAGAACCTGTGAGTATGTTATGTTACATGGCAAAAGGGAACTATGATTCCCAGTGGAATTAAGGGTATAGTAAACTCTCACCTTAAGATATGGATGCTATCCTAGAATATCTGGGCGTGTGCAAGGTAATCACAATGGTCCTTAAAAGTAGAAGGAAGCAGAAGAAGAATGTCAGAGAAAGATGTGGTGACAGAAACAGGGAAACGGATTGTCATCCTGTCAAATCAATTGTTATAGTTATTTCCTGAAAGCCATAATATTTCTCTTTTCTTAGTCTCTAATACATGTTATATTCTTAATGGTAAGTTCTCAAAGCCCACCATTTTTGCTTCAGAGAGCTCATGTAGACTTCTGTTATTCAATTCTGAATAAGTGTGAACTTTTACACTATATAAAGTAAAAAAATAAAAATAAAATCCATACATATATAAATCACTGATTGGGCAAAAGCCTTTAGAAAAATATATCTGACAAAGAATTTAACGAAGAATATATAAAGTACTCCTACAACTGAACAATAAAAAATTATAAAAATGAGCAAAGACTTAAGTAGATAATTCAAAATAAGATATATGAACAGCTAAGAAGCACATAAAGATGCATAATATCTTTGTTGTCAAGGAAATGCAAATTAAACCACAGTGTGATGCCATTACATACCAAAAAGTAAAGCTAAGTTTAAAATGAGTGTCACTTCCTTATGTTGGCAATAAATGTGTAGCAATGAAACTCTGATACAATAATGGCAGAAATATAAAAATAGTAATAATACTTTGTTAAGCTGTTTAGCAATCTATCAGCATGTTACTATACACTTAATATATAATTCAAAAATTGCACTCCCAAGAAAAAATTTTTAAAAGGTCCATAAAAGCAAACAAACAAACAAACTTACATAGGAATATTATAGAGGCTATTGTTCACCATAGTCCTAAAATGGATACAACTCAAACATCCACCAACAAGAGAATGGATATTAAAAATTCAGGTAAATAATTAAAATGGAATAATACTCCAAAATAAAGAGAGAACTAGTGATATTTGATTCAACATGGATCAATATCAAAGTTTTATGCTTAACAAAAGCAGATCGACAAAAATAGTGCACACTATGTGATTCCATTTTTATGAACTGCTACAATAGGCAGATCTAATATGTTGTAAAAGAAAGGCAGAACAACGGCAGCATCAGGGGCCAGGGGTTTGATTGGGAATACCAGTGATGCATTTTGTGGTAATGGGGAATGAAATGCTATCTAAGCAAGGGTGTGGATTACATGGGTGTTTCTACATATTTCATCAAATTGTACACTTAAAATTTGTAGATTGCTGGATCTTACATCAGGAAGAAAAGGACTTAAAAGATGTAAACTCTGTTTTTATTTATACCCTCAAAGTTTCCTTCTCATGCCTTACATGAGATGTTGAAAGTAGCACCAAATATGGAAAGGAAAGAAATTTAGCAGTCATTATAAAAAAAATACTCAAGCGTAAAGACCACTGACACTATAAAGCAACCACAGAAACAAGCTTGTGTAATAACCAGCTAACAACACAATGACAGGATTAAATCCACACATATGAATACTAACCCAGAATGTAAATGGGCTAAGTATCCTCATCTAAAAGGTATAGAATGGCAAGCTGGATAAAAAAAGCAACATCCAGTGGTATGCTGTCTTCAAGAGTCCCATTTCAGATGCAATGGCAGCCACAGGCTAAAAATAAAGGGGTGGAAGAAAATCTACCAAGCAAGTGGAAATCAGAAAAAAGCAAGGGCTGCAACCCTAATTTCAGACAACACAGACTTTAAATCAACAAACATAAAAAAAGACAGAGAATGGCATTACATAATGGTAAAGGGTTCAATTCAACAAGAAGACCTAACTATTCTGAATATATATGCACCCAAAACAGGAATACCCAGATTCATGTAGCAAGTTCTTAGAGACCTAAAAAGAGACTGGGATTCCAACACAAGAATAGTGGCAGACTTCAACATTGTACTGACAGTATTAGACAGATCATCAAGGCAGAAAATTAACAAATATGTTCAGGGCCTGAACTCAACACTGGACCAAACAGATCTGATAAACATCTACAGAACTCTCCACCCATATCAACAAAATATACATTCTTCTTATTGTCATATGGCACATACTCTAAAATCGGCCACACTATCAGACATAAAATAATCCTCAAGAAATGCAGAAGAGTCCAAATCATACCAAACACTCCCAGACCACACCACAATAAAAATAGAAATCAAGACTAAAAAGCTCACTCAAAATGATACAATTATATAGAAATTAAACAACTCACCCCTGAATGACTATCGGGTGAATAATGAAATTAAGGCAGACATCAGTAAGTTCTTTGAAACTGATGAGAACAAAGATACAACATACCAGAATCTCTGGGACACAGTAAAGGCAGTGGTAAGAGGGAAATTTATAGCACTGAATATTCACATCTAACATTAAAAAGTTAGAAAAATCTCAAATTAAAAACCCAGCATCACAACTGAAAGAGTAAGAGAGGAAAGAACATGTCAACCTCAGTGTTAGCAGGAGATGAGATATACCAATACATCAAAGCTGAACAGAAATAAATCAACATATGAATAACCATTCAAAAGACCAACAAATCTAGTTGGTTTTGGAAAAAAAAATAAGATAGAGAGGGTACTCCAGGGGTCCTTGACCCCTAGGTCACAGACCTGTACCAGTCCGTGGCCTATTAGGAATTGGGCTGCACAACACGAGGTGAGCAGCTGGGAAGCAAGCATTACTACCTGAGCTCCTCCTCCTGTCAGATCAGTGGTGGCATTAGATTCTCATAGGAGTGGGAACCTATTGTGAACTGCTCATGAAGGAGATCTAGGTTGTATGTGCCTTATGAGACTCTGACTAATGCTTCATAATCTGAGGAGGAACAGTTTCATCCTGAAACCATCCCCCACCTTCACCATCTGTGGGAAAATTGTCTTCTATGAAATCAGTCCCTGGTGCCAAAAAGGTTGGAGACTGCTGGGGAACTGGCTAGACTAATAAAGAAAAGAGAGAAGATCAAAATAAACACAATTAAAATGGACAAATGGGATGTTGCCACTGATCCCACAGAAATAAAAAATAACCATCATAAACTACTATAAACACACTTAAGCACACAAACTAGAAAACCAAGAAGAAATGGATAAATTCCTGGAAACATACATCCTCCCAAGACTGAACCAGAAAGAACTGATTCCCTGAACAGACCAATAATGAGCTTCAAAGTTGAATCAGTAATAAATAGCCTACCAACCAAAAAAGTTCACTACCAGACAGATACAAAACCAAATTCTACCAGATATACAAAGAAAAGCTGGTACCATTTCTAACAAAATTATTGCAAAAAATTGAGGAGAAGGGACTCCTCCCCAACTTATCTGAGACACGCATCATCCAGATATCCAAACCTGGCAGAGGCACACAAACATAGAAAAAACTTCAGGCCAATAACCTTGATGAAAATTCATGCAAAAATCCTCAACAAAATACTTGCAAACAGAATTCAGCAGCACATCGAAAAGCTAATCCATTACAATCAAGTAGGCTTCATCCTCGCAATGTAAGGTTGGTTAAATATACACAAATCAATAAATGTATTAATCACATAAACATAACTAAGGACAATAATCACACGATTATCTCAATAGATGCAGAAAATCTTTTGATAATATTCAACATCCCTTTGTGTTAAAAACTCTGTATAAACTAAGTATTGAAGAAATACCTCAAAATAATCTATGGCTGACCCAGAGTCAACATTATACTGAATGGGTAAAACCTGGAAGCATTTCCCTTGAATACTGCCCTCTGTCATCATTCCTATTCAACATAGTATCGGAGGTCTGGCCAGAGCAATCAGGCAAGAGAAAGAAAGGGCATCCAAATAGGAAGAGAGGAAGTCAATCTATTCCTGTTTGCAGATGTCACGATTCTATATCTAGGAAATCCTATAATCTCAGCCCAAAAGCTTCTTCAGCCAATCAAACAACTTCAGCAAAGTCTCAGGGTACAAAAACCAATGTATAAAAATCACTAGCATTCCCATACTCCAAAAATAGCACACCTGAAAGCCAAATTAGAAACACAATCCCATTCACAACCTTGCAATTGCTACAAAGTGAAGAAAATGCCTAGGAAAAAAGCCTACCAGGGAGGTGAAAGATCTCTACAATGAGAATTACAAACACTGCTCAAAGAAATCAGAGATGACATAAACAAACTGAAAAACATTCCATACTCATGGATGGAAAGAATCAATCTCATTACAGTGGCCATACTGCCCAAAGCGATTTATGGATTCAATGCAATTGCTATCAAACTACCAATGTCTTTCTTCACAGAACTTGAGAAAACTATTTTAAAATTTATATGGAAGTAATAAAGAGCCAGAATAGCCAAGGCAATTCTAAGTAAAAAGAACAAAGCAGGAGAGCTCGTGTTACTTGACTTCAAAATATATTACAGGGCTACAGCAACCAAAACAGTACCATTCTGGTACAAAAATAGACACATACACCAATGGAACAGAGTAGAGAGCCCAGAAATAAAGCTGTACAACTACAACCATCTGATCTCCAAAAGAGCTGACAAAAACAAGCAATAGGAAAATGACTCCCTATCAAATAAATGGTTCTGGGATAACTGTTTAGCCATATTCAGATGGTTGAACTTGGATATCTTTCTTCCACTATATACAAAAATCAACTCAAGATGGATTAAAAACTTATATGTAAAACCAAAAACTACAAAAACCTTGAAGACAACCTAGTCAATACCATTCTGGTCATAGGAACAGGCAAAGATTTCATGACAAAGACACCAAAAGTCATTGCAAAACAAAGCAAAAATTGACTAATGGGATCCAATTAAACTTAAGAGTTTCTGAAAAGCAAAAGAAGCTATTAACAGAGTAAACAGACAATCTACAGAATGAGATAATATATTTGCAAATTATGTGTCCAACAAAGGTCTAATATTTAGAATCTATAAGGAACTTAAAGAAATTTACAAAAAAAAATTACCAAACAACTCCATTAAAAAGTGGGCAAAGGATACAGACTGACACTTTTCAAAAGAAGACATACATGCAGCCAACAACCATATGAAAAAAAGCTCAATATCACTGATCATTAGATTAATGAAAATCAAAACTGCAAAGAGATACCATCTCAGACCACTCAGAATGGATGTTATTAAAAAGAAAAATAAATAAATAACAGTTGCTGGCAAGATTGTGGAGAAAAGGGAACACATACGTTGTTGGTGGGAGTGTACATGATTTTAACTATTGGGGAAAGCAGTGTGGCAATTCCTCAAAAAGCTAAAATCTGAAATGTGATTTGACCTAGCAATCCCATTACTGGGTATATAACCAAAGGAATATAAATCATTCTACCATAAGGACACACGCATGTGTATGTTTTTCGCAGCACTATTCACAATGGCCAAGACATGGAGTCAACATAAATGCCCATCAATGACAAACTGAATAAAGAAAAAGTGGTACATATACACCATGGAATACTACATAGCCATAAAAAGGAACATGATCATGCCTTTTGCAGGAACATGGATACAGCTGGATGCCATTATTCTTAGCAAACTAATGCAGTAACAGAAAACCAAATACCACATGTTCTCACTTATAAGTGATAGCTAAATGATGAGAACTTATAGACACAAAGAAAGAAAGAGACACTTGGGCTTACTGGAAGGTGGGAGGTGGGAGGAGGGAAAGGATAAGGAAAAAAATAACTATTGGGTACTAGGCTTAGTACCGAGGTGATAAAATAATCTGTATAACAAACCTCCATGACATGAGTTTACCTATATAACAAGCCTGCACATGTGCCCCTGAATCTAAAGTAAATTTTTTTAAAAAATAAAATCAATTAAAAATAAAAACAAAAGAATAAAAAGATAAACTAGGCTGGGTGCGGTGGCTCATGCCTGTAATCCCAGCACTTTAGGAGGCTGAGGTGAGTGGATCATGAGGTCAAGATATCGACACCAACCTGGCCAACATGGTGAAACCCCATCTCTACTAAAAATACAAAAAATTAGCTGGGCATGGTGGTGGGTGCCTGTAGTCCCAGCTACTTGGGAGGCTGAGGCAGGAGAATCACTTGAACCCAGTAGGTGTAGGTTGCAGTGAGCCGAGATTACACCACTGCACTCCAGCCTGGCAACAGAGTGAGACTCTGTCTCAAAAATAATAATAATAATAAAATAAAAGAAGATAAACTAGTAATAAAAAAATTACGAAGCCAGAAAAAGGTCTAACATACATTATTTATAAAAAACAATAAAAGTTATATGCAAAACAATGTTCGATACTTTACAGAAATAAAATTCCTTCTTACAACCATTGCCTATACTTTTAGTTGCTACAAAACTGGGAATTTCAGAGTCAGTTATAAAAGAATTACAAAAATTATACTTTAAGATTTAGTACATTCAGGTAGCAATGATTCTTTCAAAGCAGTATATTTCCAACTACTACTCTCTATATAAAATTTAACTGGGATTGTAATTTTGGGGGGAATCAGTTTACATACATATCAATAGTATCTGTCTAACTATTTTTTTAACTTTAATCATTATAGGCATGATCAATGCTAAATTCAGTGGGCAAAAATTTGCAGAAAAATAGGATTTTTTACATAGCTTCAAAATATCTCCTTCAATATATATTTATTGGTTACAAAGGGAAAAACAGCATGCCTTACAAGGGGGGAATCTGGCAGACATCATCCTAATTAAATGTTTATCGTTAACATCACTGGTAATATGGCGTATTGACATCATATAGTCCCTAAATTTATTTACTGAGGAGGATATAATATCACTTCTGTGATATTCCTACCAAAAATGCTAACATCAGTTTAACCGTAAGAAGATATCAGACAACGCTAAATTGAATAATAATCCCACATTATTCTACAAAATAAGTAATACAGAAACATCAAAGTTATGAAAGACAAAGGAAAGCTGAAGAACAACACAGACTGAAGGAGACTAAAGGGACACACCTGAATGCAATGCAGGACTTTGGACTGGACATTAGACTAGAAAAATGACATTACAGTGTAAAACTAGTGAAATGCTAATACTTTCTGTAGTTAATGATATTGAACCAATGTTAATTGCCTTATATTGTAATATTTGTATTGTGGTTATATAAACTGTTAACATTAGGAGAAACTAGATGAGCGGTATATGTGAATACTTTGTTCTATTTTTGTAAAGTTTTTGTAAATCTAAAATTATTTCAAAATATTTTATTAAAAAATAACAGAACCATCTAGGATTTTAGTTTTTCCTCTGTATTCTCAAGTCATGTATGCTGTGTCTCTTCTCAGCTCATGTTTCAATTTGGCATTTCTCTATTTAAAGTTATATAGCTATGTAGAATGCAAGGATGACCAATCTTGTCTTTCTTTAGAATCATGAAGTATTTAGCTGTTGCTATAGCTGCTTATACTTTATAGGGCAAGCTGCCACTCAGGCTGATAAATAACTCAGAGTTCTACCTCCAAAACATGTCACCTTTGCATCGACCTCTAATTCCCTATCCTTCACTCCAACCCCACTGCCCTGTCCCCCACACACACCCCACTCCTGCTGCCAAAAATAAAAATAAAATAAAGTGAAATGTGTGGAGTGTGGTACTGGTGAAATTTGTAATCCTCTGCAGAACAAAAACATCTTAGATTACTGGTCTAAAATCAATGCTCTCAGAATGAAGCCTTAGTCTGGCTAGAATGCCCCTGAACTCAGATATGTTCAACATTTCAATGAACAAAAGAACAATGTAAATTCTGAATAAATCAATGAAGATCTTCCTGAGCAAGTTACTGCCTTAAAAAAGAATAGCTGTGGTCCTGAAAAATGCATTTGTCTTCACCAACTACCTCTAAAGCAAAACCTACCCTATTTCCTAAATCTTTCCATTACTCCTCAAGCCATATCTACA
The DNA here is from genome assembly GCF_000001405.40 of Homo sapiens. NCBI lineage: Eukaryota > Metazoa > Chordata > Mammalia > Primates > Hominidae > Homo > Homo sapiens. The sequence continues at coordinate 56,946,368 of NC_000002.12, read as the reverse complement.
AAGAGCCAAAAATGAACCCAACCTTCTCTAAACTGTTAATACAGTCTGTCCCTGCCGTAATGCATTTCAGATATTGATTTGAATTGTGATGATCTATGAATACATTACCTTTGGACAACTAGAACGTAAGTTTCTTGTAAGCAGGCTTATATTTTAATCATTTCTTTTTTTATAATAACTAGTATCATACAAGATGCTACATATATGTTTCAGGAATTACTTTGGTTTACAGATGAAGTTATAATAAGTTAGAATCTATTTATTAGCTTTAAAGACATCCAGATTATAAGCACTAAGAACAATTTTGCATCCATTTTGAAAATATCTTTAAGATTTTTCTCAGTTTGAAAGGTTATAAAAAAGTAGTCCTTTGTACACTGAGAAAATAAAGTGTCTCAATATATTTAATTTAACTGGAACACAGGCCAATTAACTTATTCTATCCTACAAAGTTAGAATGAAAGAACAAATGAACTTTCTAATCAGGATAACCAAAAGCAAACTGTAGATGACTCACCAAACCCAGATAAACAATTTTCTATCTCCAGCATGGATTTATAAATTATGAAGGTCTTGTGATGGCATACAGGGCAGATTACATTCCAGTGGAAAGGAAATGATGTATATATATTCTGTACCCAAAGAATAGTAGAGAATAATATCACCCGTGGGGTTAATAAGAAAGATGATGAGAGAAAGGGACAAGTACTAAGGCCATGTGTGACTTCTCTAACATATAGATGCCTCCTGACATAAAAAGCCTTTCAGTAAACAAGTATTTTCATAATATCAGTAACACATGCATTAAACAAGAAATACTCATATAATATTTTTTAGATTTTATGATGCTTTATGCACATTATTCAAACATTAAGGATTTTAGTGGCCAATTAGGAGTAAAAATAATTCCAATAATAATGTGAGTAGTAAATAATGCATACTTAAGACTTCTTAAGATAGACTTCTGAGACTTTCTTGAGTACAGAAGAAATTGAAAAAAAAATTGTTTAAAAAATTAATTTAAAGTCAACTGAAATGCCCTTAGGATTTTGGCAAATTTGCAAAACCAATAGTCACATAGCACCAAGTCTGGATACAATGCACATGATATTCAAGAGAAAATGATATCCTGTATTTGAAAAGGAGTTTATCTGCTATAGGACTGCTAATTTTTGCACTGTGAAACAATTTTCATGCCTTTGGTGCTAAGAAGTTCCTAAAATTGTTTTGATCTTTTATTTTCTTTTTAATTTGCACAGAGAATAAACCCAAGCAATTTTGGTTTTTATTAAGCTGGGCTTGGAAGGCATCTAGTTCCAAGCCAAGGAGATAGTCCAATTTTTATTTAAGGACTGTTTTTGTTACATTTATTGAAATAAATAGCTTTTAACATTGGAGCACTTTAAAACCATAGACATATAGGTTTAAAATAAAAAACAAAGAAAGAAATATAACAGATTTATCTTACATTTTCAAAAGATGTAATGTTTTCATTATTACATATAATAACTTTAAAACAATATCAATTTATAATTAATTATAGCATTGTCAACATCACTATCAGGTGCAAAACTAAAGTCTTTAAACAAACTACAATAACTTTTCAAGACATAGTACAATAAGATATAAATAGAAACAACAAAATGTGAAGTTAACGTGTAGAGTTTTCATTAATTTTCTTTTTCCTTGTTTGTTTAGGTAAATAGTGTTAAAGTTGTTATCAGGTTAAAATAAGGAATTATGAGACAGTATTTGGAAGCCTCATGTTAACCTCAAACCAAAAAAAAAAACAAGAAAAACACATAACATACTATGTATACACACAAAAAAAATGTAAGAAAATAATCATATCACCAGATAAAAATCACCTTCACTAGAGGAAGACAGGAAGAAAAGAAAGAAGGAAGACCAGAAAACAAATAACAAAATGATAGGAGTCAGTCTTTACTTATGAATATTAACGCTGAATGAAAATGAAATGGACTCTCCAATGAAAAGATATAGAGAGGCTGACTGGAAGAAAAAACAAGATCGACTGATCTGTTGTCTACAAGAAACACACCTCACCTATAAAGACACACATAGACTAAAAATAAAGGGATGAAAAAGACATTCTATGACAATGGAAACCAAACTAGAGCAGGAGTTGCTATACTTAAAGAAAATAGATTTCAAGACAAAAACTTTCAGAAGAGACAAAGAAGGTCACTATATAGTGATAACAGGGTCAATTCAGTAAGCGGGTATAACCATTTTAAATGTATAGGCACCAAAACCTGGAGCATCCCAATACAATAATAGCTGGAGACATCAACACACCACATTCAGTATTGGGCAGATCTTCCAGTCAGAAAATCCCCAAAGAAACATGAGACTTAATCTGCACAATGGACTGAATAATCTAATAGATATTTATAGAACATTTCATCCAAGAGCTGCAGAATATACATTCTTTTCCTCAGCACATAGGTCATCTCAAGAATAGGCCATATTTGGGCCAAAATACACATCTTAAAATGTTAAAAATTTTAAATAATATCAAGTATCTTTTCTGACCACAATGGAATACAACTAGAAATTAATAATAAGAGGAATTTTTGAAACTATAATATACATGAAATTAAGCAATATGCTCTTGAGTGACCTGTGGATCAATGAAGAAATTAAGAAAGAAAGTGAAAAAATTCTTAAAACAAATAATAATGGAAACATGACATACTAAAACCTATATGATAAAGCAAAAGCAATAGTAAGAGGGAAGTTTATAGCTATAAATGCCTACGTCAAAAATGAATAAAAACTTCAAATGAACAATCTAATAATGTGTCTTGCAGAACTAGAAGAGCAAGAGTGAACCAAACCCAAAATCAGAAGAAGAAAAGAAATAATACAGATCAGAGCAAAAATCAATGAAAACAAAATGAATAAAAGATGAATGAAACAAAATGTTGGTTTACTTAAAAGTTGAACAAAATTCACAAACCTTTAGCCAGACGAACTAAGAAAAAAAAATAAATTAAAATCAGAAATGAAAAAGGAGACATTACAACTGATACTGCAGAAATTCAGAGGATAATTTATGGCTACTATGAGCAATTACATACCAATAAATTAGAAAATCTAGAAAAAATGGACAAAATCCTAAATACATACAACCCACCAAATTTGAACCAGGAGAAATCCAAAGCCTGAACAGACCAATAACAAAGAATGAGATTGAAACCATCATATGAAGATTCTCAGTAAAGAAAACCCAGGACCTGATGACTTTACTGCTGGATTATACCAAACATTTAAACAAGAACTAATACCAATCCTGTCAAACTATTCCAAAAAATAAAAGATAAGGGAATACTTTCAAACTCATTCTATGAGGTTAATATTACCCTCAAAGACACATCAAAAAAAGAAAACTAAGACCAATGTCTCCGATAAATATTGATGTAAAAATCCTCAACAAAATACTAGCAAACCAAATTCAACAATGCATTAGAAAGATTATCCATTTTGACCAAGCGGTATTTATCTCTGAGACACAAGGATGGTTCAACATACATAAATTAACCACCGTGATACATTGTCTCAACAGAATTAAGGATAAAAGTCACATGATCATTTCAATTAATCCTGAAAAGGCATTTGATAAAATTCAACATCTCTTTCATGACAAAAACCCTAAAAAAACTGGAGATAGACAAAATATATCACAACATAATAAAAGACATATACAACAGACCCACGGCTAGTATCAAAATGAATGGGGAAAAACCGAAAGCCTTTCCTTTAAGATCTGGAACACCAGAGGGATGCCGACTGTCACCACTGTTACTCAACATTAGTACTAGATGTCCTAGCTAGAGCATCAAACAAGAGAAAGATATAAAGGGTATTAAAATTAAAAACAAAGGAATCAAACTATCCTTGTTTGCAGATGATATGATTTTTATTTGGAAAAGCCTCAAGACTCCACATAAAACTATTAGAACTGATACACAAATTCACTAAAGGTGCAGGATACAAAATTAACATATAAAAATCAGTAGCATTTCTATATGCCAACAGTGAACAATGTGAAAAAGAAATTAAAAAAAATTCCGTTTGCAATAGCCACACATGAAATTAAATACGTAGGAATTAACTTAATCCAGGAAGTGAAAGATCTCTATAATAAAAACTATAAAACACTGATGGTAGAAATTGAGGAGAACACAAAACATTTAAAAAATTCCATGTTAGTGGATCGGAAGAATCAATATTGTTAAAATGTTCATACTACTCAAAGCAGTCTACAGATTCAACGCAATCCCTACCAAAATACAAATGATATTCTTCACAGAAACAGAAAAAACAATCCTAAAGCTTATATGGAACTACAGAAGACCCAAAATATCCAAAGCTATCCTAAGCAAAAAGAGCAAAATTAGAGGAATCACATTACCTGACTACAAGTTATACTATAAGCTACAGTAACCAAAACAGCATGGCACTGGCATAAAAACAGACATATAGACCAATGGAACAGAAGAGAGAACCCACAAATGAATCCACATGCCTATAGTGAACTCATTTTTGATGAAGATGCCAAGAACACACACAGCGGAAAAGACAGTCTCTTCAATAAATGTTGCAGGAAAAACTGGATATTCATATACGGAAGAATGAAACTAGATCCTTATGTCTCACCATATACAAAAATTAAATCAAAATGCATGAAAGACTTAAACCTAAGTTTTCAAACTATGAAACTACCACAAGAAAACACTGGGGAAAACCTCCAGGACATTGGTCTGGGCAAACGTTTTTTTAGTAATACCCCACAAGCACAGACAACCAAAACAGTAATGGACAAATAGGATTACATCAAGTTAATAAGCTTCTGCAAAGCAAAGGATACAATCCACAAAGTGAAATGACAACTCATAAAATGGGAGAAAATATTTGCAAACTACGAATCTGACAAGGGATTAATAACCAGACTATGTAAGGAGTTCAAACAACTGTGAAGGAAAAACAAAATCTAATAATCTGATCAAAGATTGGATAAAAGATTTAAATAGATGTTGCTCAAAAGAAGACATACAAATGGCAAACAGGCAAATGAATAGTTGTTCAACATCACTGATCATCAGAGAAGTGCAAATCAAAACTACAATGAGATATCATCTGACCCCAGTTAAAATGGCTTATATCCAAAAGACAGGCAAGAACAAATGCTGATGAGGATGTGGAGAAAAAGAAACCCTTGTACATTACTGGGGGGAATTTCATGCCTGTATTAAGACACATTGCATGCCTGTATCAAAATATCTCATGCACCCCGTAAATATGTATACCTATTATATACCCACAAATGTTTTTAAAGAGAAACCTGGGAGAAAAATTTAGAAAAAAAAATATGATATGGTGGGATTGGGTTGGTAAAATCTAAAATCTACTGTTTCTTGATCTTTATTTTACAGTATTAGCATCTCAGATTTCAAAGGAAGATAAGTGGTAGGCAATAGGTCTAAAAGAAAATACATTGAGTAGTAATAAGAAGTTACAAAGTTATGTATCTTTCTATTTCTTTGGTCTGTGGATATCTTTCCAAATTTGAAGAATAAAACTTAAACAGCTTCTTATGTTCTTTCTAAATATATTTACACAGCTTTTGCTTCTTTTGGCTTTCTTCTCTCTATCCTTACTATTACTTACATTTTTGACATTTGAAAAGTATTGAAATTAATTTTAAGTTAGAATTTTCAGAATAATGCCTTGAGGTGTTTGAGGGTAAGACAGTTTTCATTACTGTTGAAAATGTGGGAAAAGTTTCATTTTTTTCTGCATGTCATCCTTCAAAGATAATACCTATCTAGTTTCTCCTTGAAAAATTAGAAAAGCCCAGTGAAACTTGCCTACCACAGAAAACTGCTTATCCTGTGATTCCTGATACATCATGGTACCTGAAATTAATATCATCACTTATCCTTATAGTATAGGAAGTTGAGAGTTACTTTAAAAATACTGTCAAAGTAAAATGTGCACCAGACAAAGTTAAACAGGCAAGGAAGAATATTCAGCCTATTGTGATAGTGAAAAAAGACTGAAATCAACTTTGCTGAAATAAAATGTATTGAGTACATTAAGTTATTGCTGAGTTTGCAAACCATTTTTCTCTTTGATTAGGCCATATGTGTTGATAATTAGTGCCCATCTAACTAGGCTCCTAGCTATCCATAGAGACTGGGAAATGGGGTGCTATCTTCCTTGAATACATTTCACAAGGATAATTCCCAGGTCCTCCAGACAGCCATTTCCTGGGTTATAAAACTGACAAGAGGCTGGAAGAAGATTTACATACATTTCAAATGGGCAGAAGAATTGTTTACAATTGCAGATTTTCTAAATAAGTGCTCTAAGAAAAGATAAGTCAGGGGCCTATAGTCAGGAAGAAAACAGTCTAAAGTTTAGCCAACCTGAGGGAAAGATTAAGGCCCTCTTGATACATTCAAATAAAATCTCTCTAAAAGATAAAGTGAAACATTATGTCTAGAAGGGTGCAAGTAAGACATGTCATTACTGCTACCACGCATAGATATCTCCCACCCCAATCCCTGCTCACTGGAAGAGGCTCACTGGAGCTCAGGGAAGAACTCAAAGAGTAATTGGAATTACCTGAAAGCTGTAGAGGTCTACCTGACTTAGGTGGAACTTTCTAGCAGAGGTCAGCCTTCCCTAATATGATAACATACGTATGTTACAAATAAATTCAAAGTAAAACATGAATCATGCAGCACATGGACCAATCCAAAATTGCTATAATTGCCTGTTTTGCTGAGGAGAGGCTGGTGATACAAGCTCTTTGAGGAAGCCATGGCCATCCCTGCATCGTTGATCTCTTCTAATACTCCTAAAGAGGTACAGAGTGAGCACAGGATGAGACACAATGCATTTAGCAGAAAAGTACTATGATGGCTAATTTTGTATGTCAACTTGGCTAGACTACAGTGCCTGGATATTTGATCAAATATTATTCTGGATATTTCTGTCCAAGCATTTTGGGAAAGATTGATATTCAAATTAATAGACTTTGAGTAAAGCAAACTGCCCTCCATAATGTGTGTGGGTCTCATTCAATCACTTGAAGACATGATAAGAACAAAAGACTTTTCTACCCTGAGCAAGAAGGAATCTGCAGCAGATGGTCTCTGGACTTGAACTGCAGCCTCAGCTCTTTCCTGGGTCTCCAGCCTGCCAACCCGCTCTGCAGATTTTGGACTTGTCAGCCTCCATAATCATGTGAGCCAATTTCTAAAATAATCTGTTTCTCTCTATACGCACATTCTCTTGGTTCTGTTTGGAGAATCCTGAGAAACACAGCACTCTATGAAACCTAGTCTCAGTGTTAAGGCCCCGTATGCAGTTTTTTAATATAGGAGGCGGTCAACCTTCTTCATGGGACTACCGAGAAAACCAGAACAAAAGATATGATTGGAGATCACTCAGATTGCTCCAGAGTTGGTGAAAACAGAAAAGGCATCTAGACTCCTTTATTTAAAAAAGAAAAAAAAAGAGAAAACCTTTCCTTTTGTGAAAGGAAAATAAAATATCAGGACCACATTTCACTATGCCAAAAGGAAAAAAAAAATAAGCTGAAAGCTGAGTAATACAAGAAACAAAACTGCCTTTCCTTGTGTTCCTAAGCAGATGGCCACAGCTAAAAAGGCCAGGTCTCCCACAGGTAACTATTCTATGTTCACTTTATCTTATGTGAAGTGCTGATTTACAGAGCACGAGACAAATACATAATTGACTATTCCTCTACCTGCTTCTTTCTCTTGCAACATGTGGATTCAGTAATGTGACCATATAATATTCTCTCTTTTTCACCTCCAGCTCATTTTCCCCCTGAAATATTAAAGCCTTCAAAATCATCTTTAGAAAAAGGCATAGATCACAGACTGTTTCTGTGATTTTGTGTTCCTTTTACCCGGACATGTCCTTAGCCTTGGCAAAATAAATCTCTAAATTGATTGAGACCTGTCTCAGATATTTTTTTGGTTTATACTATCAAGGTAGTACTTTCTATTCTGCACTTAAAAGATGAGAAATCATTAATGACGAATAATAAACATTCCATTGAGGTACCCGTAATGGTAACCAGGATTGAGAAATTCAGGGTTTCTCAAACCCAAACTGTTGACATTTTTAGTTAAAATAATTCTTTGTTGTGGATGTCTTTCATGTACATTGCAGACTTACCAGCATACCCCAGCTTCTACTCACTTGATTCTAGTAGCACTCTAGTATTTTGTGATAACCCAAAACGTTTTCAGATATGGCCAAATGTCCTCAGTGAACAAAATCACCCATGGCTGAGAACAACTGGACTAGACTAAAGCAGCATTCTGAAAATTACAAATTATTTGAAATCTCATATTTCATGCCAAATTTTTATTTGAATTCTTCTTATGTCAAAGTTTTTATTTAATATAAAAATCCTGAGACTCCTTTGAGAGAAAACTTTAAAGAAAGTTAATGTTAAAAAAAAAGATTCACCAGGTTTACCTATGACTCCTTTCACCTAACTCCAGGAGAAGGAGTATTCTAGTTCAAGCATCACAGGCATAAGGAGACCAATATAGTTTGCATGTGTATTCTTGCCCAAATCTCGTATTGAAATGCAATCCCCAATGTTGGAGGTGGGGCCTGGTAGGAAGCGATTGGCTCAGTGGGGTGGATTTCTCATGAATGGTTATCACCATCACTCTTGGTACTGTCCTTGTGATAGTGAGTGAGTTCTTCTGAGATCATTTAAAAGTGTGTGGTACCTCCCTGCCCCCTCTCTTGCTTCTGTTTGCACCATGTAACCTGCCTGCTCCTTCTCTGCCTTTCACCATGATTGGAAGCTTCTGGAAGCCTCCCCAGGAGCAGACACGGCTATGCTTCCTGTACAGCCAGCAGAACTGTGAGCCAATTAAATCTCTTTTCTTATGAATTACTCAGTCTCAGGTATTTCTTTATAGCAATGTAAGAACAGACTAATACAGAGACTGAACCAAAGATAAGTATCTTATGGTGATTTTTTTTTTTTTTTTTTTTTACTATTCTCATCTCTAGAATTAGGATTTTATAGAACTGTGTTTTCAAGAGAAAAACAGATAATTTCCAAAATGTCTTCCATTTTATAAAAATCTGTGCATCTGTGAATCTTTAGAAAGATGTTGAAGATATTTGAAATAATTTGTTATTTTTTAAAAATCAAAAAGACTGTATGAATGACTTAGGCTATATGTGGCTTAAAAATGAAACACTATCAAGTAAATGAGAACTTATCTTTTTCTGCATCCTTCTGGGAAGCCAAATTAGGACAAATGGGTTCAGGTTATAGAGAAGAAAGGGCTACAGATTTCAACTCAATATAAGACAAAAATTCTAACACTCCAAGCTGCTAAAGTAAAATGGGTTGTCTGATGAGGCAATGAGTTCCAATAACTTAAACGACTTGAGCTAATAAATCATGTTAGTGGGTATTGTAAAGGGATTTATGCATTAGAAAAAGACCAGATTGCCTTTGAAGTTTCATTCAGCCTTAAAATTATATGATTCTAGATAGATCCCTTTAAAAATAATGTGAAAATACTATAGTGCATGTTTTTCTAATTTGCTACACAAAAACAAAGATAAATAAAACACTGTGTCAGGCAGGTGTGGCTATTATTTCTGCCTAAAACAATGTCCTTGACAAAGGAAGATTTTCTCTCTGTGGTATACTTGCAGGGAAGTGAGGTCAGTCTTTTGGGGTCATATGTTGGAACCTTTCTCAGATGACCAGAAGCTGTGATTGGGAGCTTTTGCATCCTCCTCTCCTAGCACTGAACACCTGCATGTTCTAGGCCTACAGAGAAGAGAGCTGCAATTAGAGTGATGGCACAAAAGGTGACCCAAACAACATCAAGTCTGACTTGCTGTTTCACAAATAAACAATCACAAAAGTTTTGATCAGATTCATTTGATCCCTAGGCAAGCTGCCCACATGCACACACTGGAACAAACACCTTCACTTTCTCATCTATTTACCAATTGCACCATTTCTAAGTTTCTACATACTTTGCAGACACCCTTGGTTTGCTTTGAATGTGGAAAGATTTTTCTAAAATAAAGGAGGCTAGATACCTTTTCGGTTTTCACCAACTCTGTAGCAATCAGTTTTAAAACTGATTAAAGATACATGAGGAATTCCTTGGTTGGTCTCACATCAAGATTTTTTATTTTAATGTTCTGATATCTTGATAAATTATCAATATCAAATGAAGGCAAAATATCTTCTTTCGTTTTGGGGGAAAAATAGAATGCAGTGGCTGAAATGAAGTAGGATTTCAAATTAATTTGGAAGCCAAAGGCAAAGTCAGAATCCTTAGAAGAACTGGCTAGGCACTATCCTACAATAGGCCAGCCTTATTTTAACATTTTCTGTTCACCCTTTCACATTTATTAAAAAATAGTATCTATGGACTATATAGACTATTAAATGCACTACTCCTCCCGGTATTCAGAATCTTCCTTTTAAAATTTTCCTGCTCCTTTCCTTTTCTCCATAATAAGTATCTTATAATTGCCCTGAAACTCTGTTGCTTAGGGAAGTAATTGTATAACAAGGATTAGCATGGCCATTTGCAGGATATATTTTTAAAGACACTTCCAAGAGAAACTAAAGGACCAAGTATCTATGAACAAATTTTAGTTGGTGCCACCTGGACTGGGAGATTGTTTTAGGCAGAGAGTGTATAAGTGTCCTTTCACTACCATGCAAATAATGCAACAGGATTATGTTGTGTTCTGCATAAGCAGGGTTAGTACAATTATTTCCAAACTGCTTAAAGCAAAAATATTTCAATGAATTTTTGTGAAAAGAATGACTAAATAAAGAAAAACAAAAATATTGCTACTTGAGCACCAACTTTTTTCAATCATTTTAATAACACGATTGCCTATGTCATCTCCCCAGTCATGCCCAAAACGTTATAGGAGTGATTGCCTGGCTGTTCCTCCAAGTATTCTCTAAATCAAAGTACAAAATTACTAGAGCTCTGCAAATACTGGGCATTTGTATGCAGGTAAGACTAAGAATACAACAAAGAGAGACTATGAATCTGACAAGGAAGTCTGTAGGGAGGAAGAGTAACTTACTTTCAAGGGAATTCAGTTGCAATATTGTATTTTCTGGAGTACTTGAAGAGCATATGGTGAAGGATAAATTTAAGTCTGCAGAAAAAGCAAGTGCATCTATCAAGGGAAACCAGCTACCAGCATGTAAAATGTGTTGCCCTTTTATTTTTAGTGTGAACTATAATGTAATTCCCTGAAATAGCAGTGCTGCTATCATAAATATCCTTGTAATTATGGGGTTTTCTCAGTGTGTGACCAAAGCAATCTGCATGATCGCTGCAAGAACTAGATAGCTAGAAATAATCAAGGAATTCTTGTTGCTTTTGAAGGTCTTCTGTCATTAAAATGAAAGAAAAAAAGAAAAAAAAATCTGTTCAGAAGCTAAAGTCAAATGGTACTAAAACCATGTATTATGGAAGATGTGGCTTATATTCACACAAAACTTGAGAAAATGAATGCACGAAGATTGCAAGGCCTAAAAGGATGGCAGAAACATTAGCTAAAAGATTCCATTTTGAAACAGTAAAAGGCAGCAGACATCTCCTTTATCACTGACTGAAAATGAGAAGCATTTCCAGGTCGTTCAATAATAATTCTTTGCATGTGATTTCACTGAATCTCTTGTTATTTTAAATGTCCTTGGTGGTTGTTACACATATGCCTAGTGAGAATTGAAGTGTAAATTATTACCATACTAAAATGAACTATGATACGTTACTTATATTACTTTTACTAGTATTATAGGTTGCAACAATAAGTGCTACCTACTTTAATCCAGATATAAATTCCATTTAAGAAGGACTTACTAGATTTTTAGACAATGAAAATCTTGAAATATATGCCCTTACAAAAATAAATTAGGGAATAGATTTACTGAATTCTGTGTAGATTCTACAAGTAGAAGACACACACTTGATCTCAAACAGAATACAGTCTGCCCTAAATGAGCTTTAACAAATCCTAGCATTCCAAGAATGTCGATATTTACTATAGTAAAACAGCAGAGGGAATGCACTGTTGTTTTTCTACATGTTATTTTCCAACAAATAGTGAAATACATAGAGAGCTAGAATTCTTGGCATGCTGATACTGAACAGAAGCCTTTTCCAATTTACTAAATGAACAGTTTATATATCTTAAATATGTTGCTTCGAACTCATAGAAAAATGATTTTAAAATAAAACATCTTCATGAGTTATTTCATCAGATCTTGTGTTCATAATGTTCTTGTGCTTTTACTGTTTAATATCTGTAAGAGTATATTTAAAAAAAATGTCTTTTGGCATATTAAGGAAAAAAATGTTTTGGTATTAAGCTGAAATGTCACAAAATGACTTCAACATTTTACATCTTACTCTGAAATAATCTCACAAAAATTTTTAAAAATTGAGAAAAAGCCAGTTTTGACTATAGTTTTTGGACATTTTAAATGGGTTTCAGAATAGAAATAATAATAATAATTAGAGCTTTTATCTGGGGAAAGAAAGGAAGAGTGGCTACTGAGAAAACAAACACACAATAAATCTAAAAGGCTATAAGAAGAGGGCATCTAACCTACCCATTTTCATTGAATAAACCACCATAAAGAAACTGAGTGCTCATTATGTTTCTCAAATGTCCCCGAGCAATCCATTTCAATATATTTAATCTCTTACCATTAGTTTAAACGGGAGAAGGGAGATTTTTCTTCCTGAGCTTTCCTTTTTCCCAAATGGTTAATTTGCAAATGGTCATTCCTTCAACAAATTTTTTATTTTGTCTTCTCCAATGCCAGTCACATTCTCGGCAATAGGAAAAGGGAGATCAGGAGAGAAAAATTCCTGATGCTTATGGAGCTTACATTCAATCTGGAAATTCAAGCAATAAACACCAACATAAAGAAATTAATATAACATTAGACATCACTAATACATGTAATGAAGAAAATAAAATAGTAATCGGTAGGGGGTAGGATACAGTAGAAGTGCAGGTTATTAAACATGTGATTAGGAAAGGCTTCTAAAGAAGGTGACATGTCAGCACAGACCTGAATGAAGAGAAGGAGCCCTTTATTCAAAATTCCAGAAAAAGAGGTGAACAAGTAGAGAAAGTATGAAGAAATCCTAAGATGGAAAATACCTTGTTTGTAAAATAGACAAAAGGCTGGTGAAACTGGAGCTCTGTAAGCAAGGAGGGTGAAAGGTATGTTTATTGGAAGCTACCAGAACCAGTTCATGTAGGGATTTGTGGGACATAGGATGATATAAAGACATTATTTTAAGTTCCATAGATAGTATTAGAGAAGTTTAATACATCACTCTGACTACTGTGAAGAAGAGAATATTTAAAGGTATTTAATTTAGCAGGTCAAATGGGTTTCTGTCCTTTCTTTAATTATCTTGGAGAAAAAGGCTTTACATTTGTGATGGAATCACTTTTTGTTCTATTTCCATACAAACTGTTCTTGCTGTACCAGGTTGTAGAAATTATTTTTCATTCTATTTGTCAATTTTTTTAAAAAAATAGTGACACTCCCCTGTGCTTTTTTCCTATTTAACCATAACTTCTTGATATACTTCTGCCAATGTCAGTTAAATGTCTTAATTTATTTCACTCCAGGACCTAAATGAGACTTTCAACCTGGTTTTGATGTTATCAATACACTTAATATGCATTATGTCTGTTGAGTTATTGAAGCTGTTGATTTAAAAAATCATAACAATTTTAAAAATAACATTTAGACAGCGACACTCAACACTACTCTTACCCCATATGCTCTACTCCCCCTTCTCCACAAAAAACCAAATGTCTACATTTGTTACAATAACAAATTTACAAATAGTGTGCAAACTTACAAAGAGTTTGCTGAAGAATGAATAGGAATTTGAGGAAATAGAAATAGTGTTGAGGGACCCAGTCAATTAATATTTGCAACTGATCAAAGAGACAGCTGGAACATTTATAGACTATAAATTTTTCCATAAAGTGGAAGTGGGGGTGAGAGTGGGAGGGTATTATGAAAAGACAAAACTGGAAAGGTTTATGATACTGTCTGGATATTTGCCCCCACCTGAATCTCATGTCAAAATGTAATACCCAATGTTGGGGTTGGGACATAGTAGGAGATGATTGGGCCATGGGGGCAGGATCCCTCATGGCTTTGTGCTGTTCTTGCAATAATAAGTGAGTGCCCCTGAGATCTGGTTGTTGTTTAAGTGTGTGCCACCTCTCTCCCACACTCTCTCTTGCTCCAGTTCTCACCATGTGATGTTCCTGCTCCCTCTTTGCTTTTTGACATGAGTAAAAGCTCCCTGAGGCCTCATCAGAAGCTGAGCACATGTTGGCACCATGCTTCATAATGCAGAACTGTGAGCCAATTAAACCTCTTTTCTTTATAAATTACCCAATCTCTGGTATTTCTTTATAGCAATGCAAGAATGGCCTAATAGAGTAAGTAAGCAATAAAGGACAAAAATATATATTGTGCACCATGGAAAGATTAAGAGAGTGACATGTATTTAAGCTCTCTGGAAGTCTCAGGTATGCTAATTTTATACTTTACAAATGTTTAAATGAAATTTCCCTTTTTAGTTAAATTTTCTATTCTCCTGAAACTTATATTACCCACTTTGGAGTCTGGTTGCATCTGCTAACTTGGTAAGAAGTAGGAAAAGACTATTAATAAATATCGATTTTTTTCTTCCCAGAGAAATATGTTTGGGATTCTCATTTCAAAAATATTGCTCATTTTGAAACATTTGTATAGATAAGGAATAACATAGGCTGAAAATCAAATTAAACTCTTAACAACTGCTATACTTTACTTTATTAAATTATGCCAAAGAAACAAAACATAGAGATAAAAAAATACATGGCAAATATATTTAGAGTGTATTATAAGTTATAGCTATCTATGAAATGTTTAACATAGTATATAACAGAATTGCCAGCATAACATAAGGAAAATTTACTGCATGTGTTTTATATTTTATACATAAGATATCTCAGGCCACAGAAGCATAAGATTAAAACATCTATGGCTTGCCTTCTTCCATCTCACATAGGCCACTGAAAAAATTGCTGGTATATTCCTCTTCCTCCCAGACAGCAAAGAGAAGGAGGGTAGGTAAGTCAAGATCTCCTGTATGAAGCTCTAAAAGCCATCAGTTACCAGAACCAGCACCAAATTGCCTGAGCTCTTATCAGACTATGGTTTCCTCTGCTGTTAACATCTGAACATAATTTCTGTTTTTGTGCTGTCATCTCTAGCTCAAGCACCTCTGTGATGACTTTGGGTTCCAGCCACTTCTCCTTCCACAGTCCAGATCTAACTAAGTGTTCCACGTGATTTGATCTCTGTATCAAGGCTATCAAGCTCAGATGCTTCCAGAGACAAGGCAAGGTGTTTATACATGAAGTAGCCTTGGCAATATTGGGAATGGTGAGCACTAAGGAAAACTAGGGAGTTCACAGCCAGCCAAAAAGCATTTGCATTCAATTAAAAATTAAGTAGTATGCCAGCCAAACAGAACAGTCCTATTTCAAACTACAAAAAAGATAAATGGGTATACATCTTTACCTCAGTATTCACATTTTATCAAGATATCTCTAAACTCTTCTTCAACCAACATGGAACAAAGACAAAGTTTATTTATATTTTAAGTGTCACATTTGAAAATATAACATTCCAATGGTGCAGAAGGAGGAGTGGAAATTTCTGGTTGTGCTTATGTCTGTAAAAATATCTATTTTCTGTCAAGATAGCTAAAAAGCTGATCCATATTAAATCTATAATGTCAAATCATCTTTTATTTTCTTTCTAGCAATTTATAGTACAGGCATATCTCATTTTATTTTGCTTCACCTTACATTGCTTTTCAGATGTTGTGTTTTTTACAAACTAAAGGACTGTGGCAACCCTGAATCAAGCAAGTCTATCAGTGCCATTTTTTTTTTTTTTTTTTTTTGAGACAAGGTCTCACTCTGTCACCCAGGCTGGAGTGCAGCAGAGCCATCTCAACTCACTGCAACCTCTGTCTCCCAGGCTCAAACAATTCTTGTGCCTCAGCCTCCTGAGTAGCTTGGACCACAGGTGTGTGCCACAACACCTGGCTATTAATATTTTTGTATTTTTAGCAGATAAAGTATTTTGTCATGTTGCCCAGGCTGGTCTCAAACCTCTGGCCTCAAAAATCGACCCGCCTCAGCCTCCCATTGTGCTAGGATTACAGGCATGAGCCACTGTGCCCGGCCTTAATTTGTGCCATTTTTCCAACAAGATGTTCTCACTCCTTGTCTCTATGTCACATTTTGCTAATCTACCAATATTTCAAACTTTACCACTATTACATCTGTTATAGTGATCCATGATAAGTGATCTTTGATGTTGTTATTTTAATTGTTTTTTGATACCACAGACCTCATTTATATAAGACAGAAAACTTAGTCAATAAACATTGTGCCTGTTTTGACTGCCTCACTCACCACCCATTGCCCCATTTCTCTCCCTCCCTGTAGACCTCTCTGTTACCTAAGACACAACAATCCCAAAAGTAGGCCAAGTAATAACCCTACAATAACCTCTAAATTTTCAAATGAAAGGTAGAATACTACATCTCTCACTGTAAAAGCTAAAAATGATTAAACTTAATGAAAAAGACATGTCAAAAGCTGAGACAGGCCAAAAGGTAGTCCTCTTGCACCAAACAGTTGGCCAAGCTGTGAATGTAATAGAAAAGTTTTTGAATGAAAATAAAAGTGCTACCCTGGTGAGTACATATGTGATAAGAAAGCAGAACAGCTTTGTATTAGTCTGTTCTCATAATGCTGTAAAGACATACCTGAAACTGGGTAATTTATAAAGAAAAGAGGCTTAATCAGCTCATGGTTCTGTGGGCTATGCAGGCTTCTTTCTCTGGGGAGGCCTCAGGAAAATTACAATCATGGTGGAAGGCAAAGGGGAGGCAGGCATGTATTCATATGCCCAACAGGAGAGAGAGCTGGTGGGGAGGTGCCACACATTTTCAAACAATCATATCTCATGAAAACTCTATCAGGAGAACAGCAAGGGGGAAGTCCACTCCCACCAGGCCTCTCCTCCAACACTCGGAATTACAATTCGGCATGAGATTTGGGTGGGGACACAGAGTCAGACCATATCCATTCTTACTGATGATTGGAGAATGTCTGAGTTGTCTGAATAAAAGTTGAAACCAGCCAAAACATTCCCTCAAGCCAGTGCCTAATCTTGAGCAGCATTTTATCCAGCCCATGGCCATAGCAGCCAGCTTCATGGAAGTTGTACCTGACAGCACCTCCCATCAGCTGCACTGTAAAAGCTCTCGCTTTCTGCTCTATGGCTTCTCTGCTCTATGGCTAAAATGCTTATGAAAACTTCCCATGTCCTTATGAAAACAGGATATGCATGATGGTAAATGTGTCATGGAGGACATCTTGACCAGTGGAACATAAGGCCATATGGAAGCAAATTAAGTCTTCCCTCTTCTGTCTCTTAGACAAGTGACTCCAAAGTGTATTTTCAAAAGCACCCAGTGAGATCAAGTTCCAGCTGCCTAAAGAAAAAACTACCTGGAGTATGTACTCCTGTGTGTGCTATGCAGACTTAGCCTTCGTCTATTTTACTCTTCCTTAGTCCAGCATTCCTTTTCCCTGGTAAATCTTTTTCAGATACGTGACACAAAATCTCAGCTTAGTGCCTAGCATAGTTATCAGATAAATAATGTTCAAGAAATATTTGTTCAATGAATTAACAAATGAATGCCATGACATGAGATAATGTACATAAAATGTTTACTTAATTCTTGAAACACAGCAGAGGCCCTTTAAATACTTGAGATGTAAAAAGACCTAAAATATTCAAAGAGTATCTCTCAAAGGATGATAGTGGCCTTTTTTATAAACTGAGAGTTAGAAAAAACCTTGAATTTATCTAAAAATAATCCAAAGGATATCTCTTTAACATTTGGACAAATGCAATCCCAAATCTTGTACTGTGTGGGTGAGAGGTGCTAAAAAAAATATAGGACTTCAGAAGGGACCACATTCTATTTTTTAACATGTATACATTCATAATTTTGGTTTCTGTTTATATAATTTCCTTCATTATAACTTCTAAGTCTTACTTTTGCTCTCTGGCTAATAAGGTACAGTTATCTTCTAATCTTCTATTTTGACTGAAGAAAACTAAAATTTCTACTACCAACTTTCAAGGCTTCTCTTCACTAAACTCTCCACAGAAACCTATTAACTGCCTATCAGATGACATCAAATTTTGTCGAACTCAGTTCCTTTATAAACTTGGAAATCTCTGATCCTGTACCACTTTGGCAATATTTTTAAGTTATGTCATCAAAATAAAAATATTTCAGTAGTGTTTGACTAGCCTAGAACACAATGAGACTATAATCCTTTTAATCTAAAAACAGTCCTTCTCTTTTGGCATCTTGAATATGTCACTAGAAAAGTCAACAGAATATACCACTCTCTTATGATGTATTAAAAATTTCAAGCTCCTTTTACTAAATGCAAAGCTATAATCATGGAGAACATCCCTGAAACAGATAGTTTGCCCTGATGGAATCTTCAAATTTATATACGGGAATAAAATAAAAAGGATTACATCATTTTAAATATGCTTAAAACAATATTAATTATCACTATTCTATTGGTACCAAAAAACAAATACTATTTCAGTATGGGTTTTGGGTGGAATGAGGGTTTATTAAATGCTATATAGGACTTAATGTGTTATTTATTTAGCCTTCTATTAGTTGAATCAAAACTGAGAAGCTAGCAAGAAATACAAATTCTATATTAACCTTCAGGCCTGATACTTGCTTTTGGCAACTTACTTATAACCTTTATACTCACATTTTAAAATGTGGGTTTTCATTTTTTCTGTATGGGTTCCAGCAAGATATAAAATAGACAGATTTCTTTTATAGCAAAGCATGTTGATACAGTTTTTCTAATATTACAACCAAGAACCTAAGGATTTGCCAACACATTTTTCACTAACTTTATTTTTTTACTTAAAAAAAATTATGCCCAGAAGCATAAACAAATAAAATGATAGAAGCAGACTTGCTCTGGCAAAATGGTGTGGTGCTCACCATCTATCTCTTTTACCACATATACTCACCATTTACAGCCCTGAATAGAATTCCTAGGGCTCTTCAAAGAAATGTTTTAAAACCACTGTCTTAAAGCAGTATTGAGAGAAAAAAAAAAGCAAGCTTTTGGAGACAGTTATTCAGTGTAGAGTAAAGGCAATGGGAACTGAGGGAAAGGGAGAATGGGTGGAAGGATAGCCAGCCAGGAAATGTGAAATTCCTTAAAATCTATACATTCAAAAGAGTATATTCATATACCCACTACGAGAAAATTCTCACTCTACCTCTAGCCTCATTTTCTAGTCCAAAAATGTTGCCGCTTCCTGATTTCCCTCTCTCAACTTTTTATATATTTGCTCAACCACTTCTCTCTATACTGGTACTGTCTTATTTCTCTTCATCAGTCCATGAATTATTACATTTTCTCTTATTTCATTATATGGAAAAACAAACTATTTTGTCCTCTTCCTAACCCTTTGTGGCTGGGTTCCGAAGTCTTCACCAATAATACAGCTTCTTGTGGAGTTTTACTTAATAACATGTAGTTTAGTTAAGGATTTTTGTCTGCAGGTTTTAAGTTAGTATTCATTCCTCTTTGAGTATATATTTGCATATATTATCTCACTCTTTCCTGGCAGCTTCTTTTATGTAGCAAGGCACATTTTTCTTGCTTCCTCCAAAATTATTATCTCTCTGCCTTTGGCTTTTGAGAATTTGGTTGTAATGTGTT
Source organism: Homo sapiens (assembly GCF_000001405.40). NCBI lineage: Eukaryota > Metazoa > Chordata > Mammalia > Primates > Hominidae > Homo > Homo sapiens. The sequence continues at coordinate 56,926,379 of NC_000002.12, read as the reverse complement.
TACTTGAAGATTTCTTCATGTTTATTCTCTCTGGGGTTCTTTAGGCTTCATGGATCTGAATGTTTATTTCTCTCTCCAGATTTGGGAACTTTTCTGTCATTATTTCTTTCATTAAACTTCCTAATCTTTGTTTTCCTCTGTTTCTTCTACAATTCTAATAACATGTATATTGGCTCACTTGATGGTGTCTCATAAGTCATGTAGATATTTTTCACTTGTTTTTATTATTTTTCTTGTCATCCCTCTGATTAGATAATTTTTCAGTGACCTGTCTTTGATCTTGCTGACTCTTCTGCTTCATTGAGTCTATTGTTTAACCCCTATAAACTGTTTCAATTCAGTCATGTCCTTCAGCTCCAAAATTTCTGTTTGGTTTCTTTTATATTGTGTCCATCTCTTTGTTGAACTTCTCATTTTTTTCATATATTGTTTTCCTGCATTATTGTCTATCTGTTCTTTTGAAGCTCACTCAATATCAATTTCTAATTTATTAATTCTTCAACTGTGACTGACAGCTCTATTTTTATTACCTTTCTTACTTTTATTGATATATATGAACTCACAGAGTTTTCTTCAGATATGAACATTTTAAGTACATTACTTATTGTTTTACATAGTGTCTCATACAATTAATTTAATTGGGAGTAAATTTAAGTTCAGAGTGTTGATTTTGTTGAGTTCTTCTATTTTGAAATTTAATTTTTTTAATATTCTTAAACTTATTTTTGAATCTTGGTGTGCAAGCTCATTTTGAGTAATAAGGTTTTTGCTCTCTCTCTCTCCCCCTCACTCTCACCTGCCTTACTTTCTTCCTCTCTGTTCACTTATCATTATCTAGTAACTTTATAGTTACCTATATTCAGTGTTGAAATTCCCCTCTCCATAACCATTCCTTATAATGGTATTTCAAAGTCCCTTCTTTGTTGTTTGATTGAAGAAATCATAGGTTAATTTACTGAGCCAGATAGTAGCTTGATTTTGTTCCTCATCACAAGAAGTGTGTCTTTATCTTTCACTTTCCAAGGTTCACTGCTTCCTATAAAGCTGTAGATTCAGGGCTCCCAGTGAAAAACATCACTTTATCATTTTTTCTTCTGTTATACATCTGGGGAGTCTATCTTAGCTCTGGATACAAGCGACAAGTTCAGCCCGACATCCAGCTTGACCTGTAACACTTTAGCCTCATTACCTGCTGGGTGTGGCTTCAACATTACCCACTGCTTTGTGTCTCTTTTCCATTAATGATCTCTGGAGATGTTAATCTTGGTTTTGAGCCCAGCTATGTCTTCTTGATTTCCCCATAAATTCTATCTAAGTTTCCTTTGAATCTGTGTAAGAGGGCATAGCATCAAAAATAACCTTACTGTGCCATGCTGAACAGCCCCCCATTAACATACCATACTTATCCTTCATAAATCAATTAAATGACAAACGGCATTTAAAAGTAATCCAATGCAGGTGCAATAAAAGAATTTTCCTTCCACTTTGCTTCTGCAGTGCTTTTAATGACACCTGTATAATATTTGTCATTTAAAGTTTGACAACCATATTTTCCATAATTAAAAAAATTAAATAATATTTCTGTGTTTTACATACACACACAATAAATTCTTGGAATCCTGCTTCTATGTGAGATATGTGCAAACAAGAATCCTGAGTTTTGGTAAGAAATAATTTGTTGTGCTTCCTTTTAAAGCCATCATTAAAATGTTGTCAATGTTTTCCTCGAGATTGTGCCTTTCAATTCACCATTTTATGAGACGCTTTTAAGCTCAGTCTGATTCATCTTTTGAGATAGATCTCAAACACTAATGCTAGCCATCAAAAGTTTTTATTGTTTAAATTAATTTTCTCCTATTGCTGTAATAACTCCTGTCAATTTTTAGAAGTTGTGTATTTTAAGTGAATTCCAACTATCTTTCAAGATTTTTTGGGAAAAAAAAACCATCCTGAAATAGAGTTACTTGTTCTTATCTGAAGAAACAACTGGATGATGCGGTGGACTCTATAGGTTTATATATAAATTTCACCCCAAGACAAAATACATGTAAGAAGCCCAAAGTGAGTGTCTGAATAAGTTGGGAGGGAAGAGATTATGGGATGTCATGAGCATGTAGTGCCAAATCATATGACCTTTGAGACCTGGGTGACTGATGATGATTCCCATTATTTAAGCATTTAATATTTTGGAAAGCAGGCACTTCCTCCCGAGTGGAGTGATTGTATTCAGAGGATTTGGAATGACATCAATCCCATGTATATGTGGCTGAGCATACTTCTCCCAGCACGCCTCATTGGTGGGCTGGACTATGTAGCCTCTAGATGAAGACTGAACTATTTCCATAACATAGAGGCCACAGGCATATTTAGCAAGCATAATTTTGTTAGAAACATGGAATCAGAAGCCAACTTGGAGTATGGTACAGGGTAAAAATTTATAGGAATCTCTATAATCTCCAAAGAGAAGCATAACCTTAATCCTTTCTTATGAGGAAACACTCTATATGGCTTAGGAAAGACTCATGGCAAGCATTATTATGTATATCTTAAAGGAAGAAGCTAGATTGACATAGAAATTTAAATATTACGTCTGAGCAATTATATCTCAAAGGCAGAAAAAGAAGCTGTTTAAATATGGAAAAATAAAAGTGCAAGATCATGATATAGATATTCAGGCTCTATAAACAGTGTAAGGATTTTAAGTTGGGTTTTCAGTGAAAAATGCTTTCATTATTTGAGATTTCTATTCAATTGTATATATGTTTTCTCTGTTATTATAATCAATGGTAAATTAACTCTGTTTATCTTGTTGGTGTTCAATGAGTTAAAACATGCTACTGGAATGGGGCCATTACACATTTGAAAAAAATAATAATTTGCATTTATGTTAAATAAAATGCTAAGTAGTAAAGGTAGCTTATGCCATCTGCATAATCATTATTTTGAAAGAAAATAAAACTATTCAAGTAGAATTTTATTCTTGTTTGAAATCAAAATGAAATTTGTATAAGCTATGTACTATTTCTAATAAAAAATACCTCTATTATGTAATATTTCACCTGTTTTTTTAAAAGAAAATGGCTGTAGAAGAGAAAAAAAGTTATTATAGAAGAGAAAATAACTTAGTAAATGAATTACCTTGATAATAAATATACTGACACTCACACACTCACAAAATCATAGTATGTAACTTTGACTCTACAAAACTCAGTGTTGAAAACAAAATGCCTTAAACAAAGTAGATTCTCAACAATTCCGACTGATTGAATTGAATCATCCTTCTAAAAGAGTATAGAAAAAGGAGGTGAGTAAATAAAGCCATTAAATGGAAGCTGTATTCAGCTGAGGCAGAAAGTGCTTCTGAAGTCACAGCCTCACAGATGTCTGCCTGTCAGTCTTGTTTCTTAAACACGAGTCTGGAAAAAAGGATACAATTTTCTGATTTGGTATTTTTTGTCATTTACCTTCCCCTATAGGAGCTCAAAGAATTTTATGTGCTAAATATTTCTTCTGTACAATGTGTTAAAAAGCAGTACTTTCATTACAGAAGCTGTATTGCTGAGTGGACATAAGTACGGAAAGATGGATTGTCCTGCTTGATGTTGAGAGGGGAGTGCTGCTCCAGTAGGGGACAGAAACCAACGTTCATGACCTGTAGTCCTTTGCTCTAATTACTGGCACAGAGGCTTTTGGTAGAGTTCCTCATACTCTAGGCTGTGGTTCATTGTGTGAGAAGAACTGGCCCTTTCATTATGAGAATTGTCAGGTTGAAAATAAAGGTGACAGTCCTCTCTCTAAACAGAAAGCTCCTGCAAGCAAATACTATTTCTGGCTTTGAATTCTGTAATGTTATCTGATACATTTCTTCACATAATACTTACTCCCTTCCTTCACCACTATTACATTTTCTTTTTTCTCTATTATTACTTCGCAATTTTTCCTTACCAAGATTAATCACACAGGACTCTTCTCAATCTGATTATCTTTAGAGACTTATAGAATGAAGAATCAATAAATCTTTAATATTTAAGCAGTTTGAAAGTAGCTGCTAAACTCTCTTTGTTATTACAGTTTTCTAATTTGGGCACACTGCTGTGGAAATATATGTATATAATAAACTGTCAGATATTTAACATACTTATGTGTAAAAGTATTGTATGCATTAGTAAAAAATAACACAATGAAAACCCATTGTAAAATGCTCCTTATATTACCTTAAGGATAATGCCAAATTAATGTCTTTCAAGATAACAATTATGTCGAATAAAAACTTGATAAAAAAAGTATGGTTGACTATTTTAGTACCATTATTTAAAAATGGAAAGCAGAGCATGTAACTTTGTGTTTTATTGGTATAATGATATATACTTTCTCTTTGAATAAAATTCAAATTCACAAATTCAATATGGCTACAGAACCCCACAGATTCTGGATTGTTTTTCCAAATTCATGTTTCGTTAACTCTCTTAACTTTCCCTTTTTCCTTAAGATACAGCCATAATGATCTTTCGTATTCCTCAAACAGGTCATGCTCTGCTCTGTCAGGACATTTGTATTAAGATGTTTGCATTTGCTGCTTCTTTTGCCTAGAATGTTCCGCTCCTAGTAGCTGGAAATTTATTCTTTCAGCTCCCAAATTAATGCAACTCCTGAGCTAGGCATTCCTAATGTTGTTGTTCCCATATCTAGTTATTCTCCTTTTAATATTGCATTACTTTAATTTATTCATAGATTTTACTGTTGTCCATAATCATATTTCTTTTTTTATTTAATCAATTTAAACCTTTATTGATGATTCTTGCCTCTAGAAATGAAAGTTGTTTAAGAGCATGGGACATTTTTGTCTTATTCACCACTACATTTCCAAAGCCTTGAATAACAAATTACTTAAAGGTGGTACATGTTCAATAATTAAATGCATCTTTCAATGGGAGAGTCATACTGATTATTTTATAAAAAGAGAAAACGCAAAATATCTTGGCTTTAAAGGTAAAGACCACATTCACATTTTTTCTCCTTGAAGAAGTTAACTAAGCTTTCAGTAGGAGATTAAATATTTAAGTATTCATTACCACCATTTCATATGCAGGAAAAGGTTACAAAAATACAAAAATGAGTTAGAAAAATAAAGATCTCTTGATTTGAAATTGACAAAGGAGATACACTTTCTGCTCTCTCGAACCCTACATACTTCTACATCGTAGCAAAATAGTCACTAGTAGAGCATATGAGAGCTAGAAAACAATGTATATGAATAATTGAAAGATAATTGTATCAGAAAAAAATACTTCTGATGCCAGATGTGTGGGTTTTTTCCCCCACACCCTAACCAATTCTCCAGCAGATGCCAGTTGAAATTCTTATAATTCAACTTAATTTTCACACTTTCAACTTAAAGATAATGTCAGATCCCAGAAGTTAAGCGTTCAGTCCCATGAAACAGCCCCAAATTCAAGTGCAAAACCCCAGGTTGTGGCCAACCAGTTATATATCAGGGTTTCCATGAACCATCAACCCCGAAATTTGATTAATTTGCTAGAGGGGCTCACAGAACGCAGGGAAACACATTACTTACATGTACCCATTTATTATAATGGATCTTATAAAAGATACAGATGAACAACTAGATGGAAGAGATGCATAAGGCAAAGTATGTGGGAAGGAGCATAGAGCTCCCATGCCCTCTCTGGGCATGCCACTCTCCAGGAACCTCTGTATGTTATGCTCAGCAGTCTGGAAATTTACCGAACAGTATCCTTCCTGGTTTTTATTGAAGCTTCATTTTGTAGGTATGATTGATTAACTCACTGGACACTGATACACAACTCAACCTTCAGACCCATCCCTTTCCCAGTGGTCAGGGGTGGGACCGCAAGTTCCAGCCTTCTAATCGCCAGGGCTGGTTTCCTTTGCAACCAATCCCCGTCCTGAGACTCTCCAGGAGCCCAGCAAGAGTGGCCTCATGAGGAGAAAAAATGACTCCATCTCCCAAGAAATTCCAAGGGTTGTAGGAACTCTGTCAGATGCTCCTATCACTCATGAAATTACAAAGGCCTTAGAAACTCTGTGTCTGGAACCAAGGTCAAAGATAAAATTTAGAAGAAAAGATTCTCCTAGGGTCCCGATCTACAAGGCTTTCAGAACCTGATATATAATATTGTTTTGTGATTCTAAATGTCTAAAACTGGAGTCACTATGACAAATGACTCAGCCTATAGTGACACTGCTGACCCATCAAAATGATAAGTATATGTATGGTGAACTGAGGTAATACATAACACCTGTTGTGGCCAGGCATTCCTGAAACCTGAAGAGAAAATGAAGCCAAAAGACGGCTGAGATAATGCCATGGACATTCCTGTGAAGAACCATAAAAACAGCAAAGAAACTAACCATGACTGAGATGCCTGCAGGTCTGCCCATGAGAACTCTCAGGTCTCTTTTCCATCCCTGGAAGCTCTGCTGGGAGAAGAGTAGCAACCCTCCACCCACGTTGGTCAGTTTCAAGGGAAATGTGGACCCACCCTGTTTTTCGGTCAGCATGCTGGTCTCTTGAGCTACTCTCTGTGGTTCAGTCCCCCTCTCCCTCACATCTGCCTGTATGTGCTGAATATATCGGCATGATTGTTGGTTTATGAAAGCCTTAAACCATGAGTTTGCAAACATTTAATTGGCCATTGAGTCACTGTGAAACCTCAAGACCCCCAGGATCAGAGGTAGCACCTCAAGGCTAATTGTTACCTGACAGGATAAAAGCTGTGTCTAGGAACTTGGGGCAGAGATCAAACGTGTACTTCATATTAGATTACAATATCACAGTAAACATCTGGGTAATACAAGAGGTGATGCTGATCTTTTGATTTATCTTATTTTAAGGAATTTCAGTTTCTGATCCTTAGTCAAATCTAAAATGTAAAATCTACAATAAAAATAGCAAGGAATAAATTAACTGGGTAAGTTAAATGGCTAGGTAAGAAACTTTGTCTTAAGCAACACTTCTTCCTTGCAATGGTAGTGACAATCACTGAATATATCATGTGTACCTCAGCACCAACCTCCCACTTTCTACTCTCTTCCCTACATGGCAGGGACTGGCCCTCATTTCCCAGGACCCTTTGGCTGCAGGGTTCTCATTTAGTTACACCAACGACAGGCACTCTGAAGAAATTTGAAAATTGCAAGATAGGAAGATAGGGTGTTCTATCTCCCCAACCAGTGTTAGCAGGGGTAGATAGAGTGTGTTAGAATAGCAATGGCTTCTCTGTGAGCTCCTGCAAATGTTGTATTTTGCTGATACAGGAAGCTGTAATCACCAGCATCAAGTTTCTTTGCCTGAACTTCCTGTCTTTCTAAAAGCCAGCATAGTACACTGAAAGTCAGCATAGCTCACTGAAAGTCAGCATAGCTCTCCCTGACCTAATTTTATTAGTGGAAAATCCTGTAAGAAAGAAAATGGATCTGAGGCTGGAAAGGCTGGAAATGATCTCAGCCTGCAATGCAAGTGTGACCAGGTTAGGAAAGGGAAAGGAAGGTGGATGAAAGCCTGCTAGATTGCTGGGCCTTCCAAGGAAGATTAAACACAGCCCACTGGGAGTCCTCAAATCAAAGTTAGCTATTCTGATGAGTTTCATGTCTCCTGAGAATGAGCCTTCCTTAGCACTCCTGAGGCAGCTGCTGAGTCTCTTAGTCAAATATGCTCCCAATAGTTGGAAGCTTCCCAGGTATACCCTCATGGACTTCAAACATAGGGATATGGAAAAATACATAAAGTTTAAAAGTATATATGTAAATGTTGGCAAGTTATCTAACTCGTTGGGGTTTTATTTTCCTTACTTGCTGAAGAGAAATAATGAAACCTACTCTCTTGCACATTGCCCCTGTGAGGAAATCAATGCCAAAATATTTTAAATTGAAAACTTGCCATAGATAACATAAGGGAAGATAAAGGGAAGAATTAATGAGAAGATAAAAGCAGATAACTTTCAGATATGATCTAATATATGCAGTGGCATAATAATTATCTATGGGAAAAGGGTAGATTGAAACCAGTAAGTACTCTAGACAGTTCTCAGTTTTACCCAAACTAAGGGATCCTCACAGGGATTCAAAAGACAGAAAAAAGAAGAAACAAAGGGGATCAATGCTCATACATCTACTTTTTGATCTTGATACAGAATCCCACTTTGTCTCAGCACCTCAAATAAAGAAAGAAAAACTAAAGTGAAAAGTCAGTGCCTCTCAAAATATATTTACCTTTTTTAAAAAAATCAATATTTTTTTTGTATACTTTAACTTCCGGGATACATGTGCAGAAAGTGCAAGTTTGTTACATAGATATACACGTGCCATGGTGGTTTGCTGCACCCATCAACCCATCATCTACATTAGATATTTCTCCTAATGCTATCCCTCCCCTAGCCCACCACTCCCCAACAGGCCCCAGTGTGTACTGTCCCCCTCCTTGTGTCCATGTGTTCTCATTGTTCAGCTCCCACTTATGAGTGAGAACATGCAGTGTTTGGTTTTCTGTTCCTGTGTTAGTTTGCTGAGAATGATGGTTTCAAGCTTCATCCATGTGCCTGCAAAGGACACGAACTCATTCTTTTTTATGGCTGAATAGTACTCCATAGTGTGTATGTGCAACATTTTCTTTATCCACTCTATCACTGATGGGCACTTGGGTTGGTTCCAAGTCTTTGCTATTGTGAATAGTGCTGCAATAAACATATGCGTGCATGTGTCTTTATAGTAGAATGATTTATAATCGTTTGGGTATATACCAAATAATGGGATTGCTGGATCAAATGGTATTTCTGGTTCTAGATCCTCGAGGAATCACCACACTGTCTTCCACAATGGTTGAACTAATTTACACTCCCACCAACAGTGTAAAAGCATTCCTATTTCTCCACATCCTCTCCCACATCTGTTGTTTCCTGACTTTTTAATGATCACCACTCTAACAGGCATAACATGGTATATCATTGTGGTTTTGATTGCATTTCTCCAATGACCAGTGATAACAAGCTTTTTTTCATAAGTTTGTTGGCTGCATAAATGTCTTCTTTTGAGAAGTGTCTGTTCATATCCTTTGCTTACTTTTTGACGGGGTTGTTTTTTTCTTGTAAATTTAAGTTCCTTGTAGATTCTGGATATTAGCCCTTTGTCAGATGGATAGATGGCAAAATTTTTCTCCCATTCTGTAGGTTTCCTGTTCACTCTGATGAGTTTCTTTTCCTGTGCAGAAGCTCCTTAGTTTAATTAGATCCCATTTGTCAATTCTGGCTTTTGTTGCAATTGCTGTTGCTGTTTTAGTCATGAAGGCTTTGCCCGTGCCTTTGTCCTGAATGGAATTGCCAAGGTTTTCTTCTAGGGTCTTTATGGTTTTAGGTATTAAGTTTAAGTCTTAATCCATCTTGAGTTAATTTTTGTATAAGGTGTAAGGAAGGAGTCCAGTTTCAGTTCTCTGCATATGGCTAGCCAGTTTTCCCAATACCATTTATTAAACAGGGAATCCTTTCCCCATTGCTTGTTTTGTCAGGTTTGTCGGAGATCACATGGTTGTATATGTGTGGCATTATTTCTGAGGTCTCTGTTCTGTTCCATTGGTCTATATATGTGTTTTGGTACCAGTACCATGCTGTTTTGGTTACTGTGGCCTTGTAATATAGTTTGAAGTCAGGTAGCATGATGCCTCTGGCTTTGTTCTTTTTGCTTAGGATTGTCTTGGCTATATGGGCTCTTTTTTGATTACATATGAAATTTAAAGTTGTTTTTTCTAATTCTGTGAAGAAAGTCAATGGTATCTTGATGGTGATAGCATTGAATCTATACATTACTTTGGGCTGTATGGCCATTTTCATGATATTGATTCTTCCTATTCATGAGCATGGAATGTTTTTCCATTTGTTTGTGTCCTCTTATTTCCTTGGGCAGTGGTTTATAGATCTTGAAGATGTCCTTCACATCCCTTGTAACTTGGATTCCTAGGTATTTTATTCTCTTTGTAGCAATTGTGAATGGGAGTTGACTCATGATTTGGCTCTCTGTTTGTCTATTATTGGTGTATAGGAATGCTTATGATTTTTGCATATTGATTTTATATCCTGAGACTTCACTGAAGTTGCTTATCAGCTTAAGGAGATTTCAGGTTGAGATGATAGGGTTTTCTAAATATACAATCATGTCATCTGCAAACAGAGACAATTTGACTTCCTCTCTTCCTATTTGAATACCCTTTATTTCTTTCTCTTGCCTGATTGCCCTGGCCAGAACTTCCAATACTATGTTGAATAGGAGTGGTGAGAGAGGGCATCTTTGTCTTGTGCCAGTTTTCAAAAGAAATGCTTCCAGCTTTTGCCCATTCAGTATGATATTGGCTGTGGGTTTGTCATAAATAGCTCTTCTTATTCTGAGATGTGTTCCATCAATACTTAGTTTATTGAGAGTTTTTAGAATGAAGGAGTGTTGAATTTTGCCGAAGGTCTTTTCTGCATCTATTGAGATAATCATGTGGTTTTTGTCATTCGTTCTGTTTATGTGATGGATTATGTTTATTGATTTGTGTATGTTGAACCACACTTGCATCCCAGGCATGAAGCCAACTTGATTGTGATGAATAGGCTTTTTGATGTGCTGCTGCATTCGGTTTGCCAGTATTTTATTGAGAATTTTCACATCAATGTTCATCAGGGATATTGGGCTGAAATTTTCTTTTTTTGTTGTGTCTCTGCCAAGTTTTGGTATCAGGATGATGCTGGCCTCATAAAATGAGATAGAAAGGAGTACTTCTTTTTCGATTGTTTGGAATAGTTTCAGAAGGAATGGTACCAGCCCTGTTTGTACCTCTGGTAGGATTTGGCTGTGAATCCGTCTGGTCCTGGACTTTTTTTGGTTTGTAAGCTATTAATTACTGTCTCAATTTCAAAACTTGCTATTGGTCTATTCAGGGATTCGACTTCTTCCTGGTTTAGTCTTGGGAGGGTGTATGTGTCCAGGAATTTATCAATTTCTTCTAGATATTCTAGTTTATTTGCATAGAGGTGTTTATAGTATTCTCTGATGGTAGTTTGTATTTCTGTGGGATCAGTGGTGATCTCCCCTTTATCATTTTTTATTGTGTCTGTTTGATTCTTCTCTCTTTTCTTCTTTATTAGTCTGGCTAGAAGTCTATTTATTTTGTTAATCTTTTCAAAAAACCAGCTCCTGGATTCATAGATTTTTCAAAGGGTTTTTTGTCTCTCTCTGTCACCTTCATTTCTGCTCTGATCTTAGTTATTTCTTGTCTTCTGCTAGCTTTTCAATTTGTTTGCTCTTGCTTCTGTAGTTCTTTTAACTGTGATCTTAGGGTGTCAATTTTAGATCTTTCCCACTTTCTCTTGTGGGCATTCAGTGCTATAAATTTCCCTCTAAATGCTGCTTTAGCTGTGTCCCAGAGATTCTGGTACGTTTTTGTCTTTGTTCTCATTGTTTTCAAATAACCTATTTTTTTCTGCCTTAATTTCATTATTTACCCAGTAGTCATTCAGGAGTCGTTTGTTCAGTTTCCATGTAGTTGTGCAGTTTTCGGTGAGTTTCTTAATCCTGAATTCTAATTTGATTGCACTGTGGTCTGAGAGACTGTTTGTTATGATTTCTGAAAATACTTTATAGACAAGCAAATGCTGAGAGATTTTTGTCACCTCCAGGCCTGCCTTACAAGAGCTCATGAAGGAAGCACTAAATATGGAAAGGAAAAACTGGTACCAGCCACTGCAAAAACATACCAAATTATAAAGACCACTGACACTATGAAGAAACTGCATCAACTAACGGGCAAAACAACCCGTTAGCATCATAATGACAGGACCAAATTCACACATAACAATATTAACCTTAAATGTAAACGGGCTAATTCCCCTTATTAAAAGGCACAGACTGGCAAATTGGGTAAAGAATCAAGACCCATTGGTGTGCTGTATTCAGGAGACCCATCTCATGTGCAAAGACATACATAGGCTCAAAATAAAGGGATGGAGGAAGATTTACAAAGCAAATGGAAAGCAAAAAAAAAAAAAAAAAAAAAAAAGCAGGGGTTGCGATCGTAGTCTCTGATAAAGCAGACTTTATACCAACAAAGATCCAAAAAGACAAAGAAGGGCATTACATAATTATAAAGGGATCAATGCAACAAGAAGATCAAACTATCCTAAATATATATGCACCCAATACAGGAGCACCCAGATTCATAAAACAAGTTCCTAGAGGCCTACAAAGAGACTTAGAGTCCCACACAATAACAGTGGGAGACTTTAACATCCCACTGTAAAGTGTAATAGTATTAGACAGATCAACGAGACAGAAAATTAACAAGGATTTTCAAGACTTGAACTCAGCTCTGGACCAAGTGGATCTAATAGACATCTACAGAACTCTCCACCACAAATCAAAAGAATATACATACTTCTCAGCACCACATCGCACTTATTCTAAAATTGACCACATAATTGGAAGTAAAAAACTCTTTTAACTCATTTAATAGCTATTTTAATAATCATATTATTCTGCTGATTGGTAAAACATAAGGCACTCTGAATTTAACTAATGTAGACTATCCCCAATAGAGGTACTTCTCTTAGCATAAAATTCCAAACTCTCTGCTACCCCACTTTTGAAAGTCACATGGAAATGGTTACCTTCATAATCAATAGTCCCTTCTTTAAATCTATAATTTAACTTAGAGGAATGATCGTGAGCATCCTTGTTCTACTGACTTGTGCTTCTGCCATGATGCCATTGACCACTGTTTACTATTAGAGTGTTACAAGAAAAAAAATTCAGTAAATCTGGCAACTGACTTGTGGTAAGCATTGAAGATGTTGTCATTCCATTAAATAATAACCTTTTCATGAAAAACCCTGGAAAATATTTATCACCATTTTAAGTACAGGTAGTCCTCATTCTGCCTCAGTGGGTTGTTCTGTAAAAATAACTATTCAAGTTAGAGCAGTGCAAAACTTTGCTAATGATCTATGGAAAATGTGTTTTTTGTTCTACACACTTTAGAATTTTGTCAAAACATTAAAAAAATTACTCTGACATAAATGTATAGGGAAATTAAAAATGATAAAACTAATATTTATTAAACATGATAGTTTAAAACATTAGAAACATTGAAAATTCATGTGGTTTATTTATTTGCAAAACTTATCAAGAGTAGTTTGATCAGTGCTTGACTTCCTTCATCTTATAACTTAGGATAGGGAGCAAGTATCTTGTGTACCCCTTGGTGAGTTGTCATATTCCTTTCTAAGTTTACACAGGCTTCCATCATTTTTGTTCTCTTTGTACTTTTAATGTTGTAAAATCTCAGAAATTTTTATTAATGTCAAGTTTTTGACAGCATCACTTCTCTGCATTCTTTTTGTCACAATCACTTTCCTCATTTATGTCTATGAGCCCACCTTCACTAAGTTCCTCTGACTACACAGCTAGATTTCTTGAGTGATAGCAATGCCAAAATTTCCATGGTCAGCCATTTCTTTTATGACCTCATGTACATGTGACTCAAATTTCACTTCCACCAGTACCAATTGTTATTTATTTACCGTAATTTCATTTTTGCTTGCCTGCTTTTTCTTTCAGTTTTCCAATTTGTCAAGTACCGTACTGGTTATCACTCAGAGAGAAGGAGAAAACAGAACTACGTGTGTGTGACAGAATAACAGATGTGCACTAACCACTAGCCAAGAGATTGTGCAGGAAGTGACGTGACTGACCACTGATCATGATGTATATCTGTTATTTACATAGCTGTTTGTGGAATAAAGAGCTAGCAGTGAAATTTGTACTTTATATAATAACTCACAATAATACCATAGTAACTAAAATTTGAATTACTTTGTTGGGGGTTTAGTATTATTTGAATAAACCAAGGAAACTGAGGTATATGCATATCAGGAATCATACTAAGAGAGGACTGCTTGTATTAGGAATTACGGTACTTTCTTAGAGCAATGAAATCGTTTTACTATATAGACCAGTGCTGTTTAATAGAAATATAATGAGGGCCACAATTGCAAGCTGATGATGTAATTTTAAATATTTTAGCAGTCACTCTAAGAATAGTAAAAAGAACTAGGTGAAATAAATTTAATAATATATTTAATTTAACCCAATATATTCAAAATATTATTCAAATATATATCCATATAAAATGATTACTGAGATATATACATTTTTAAAAATTCTAAGCCTTTAAAATTCAAAGTGTATTTTACACTTAGGAATCTTCAATTTGCACCAGACACATTTTAAGTGCCTAGAGGTCATATGTGGTTAGTGGCTAGTATACTGGAGAGCATGGATATAGACACTAAAAATTTCATAAGGAATCATTTTTCCTTTTTTTGTATTGGATATTCAAGAATTTGAGATCAAATATATGAGCTGCTCCTTGTAAGCACATTTAGGCTAATGGCATGAATGCTGTGAACTAGCGATCCTCTGGTTCCAGTGCACTTGCTTAATGTAATTCATGCTTTATTCCTTTCCCTTATTCAAATTTACTTTATGTTGCTATATTTTATACATATTTTTATGTCATTTCTGTTTATTTTTATAATAAAAGTATAACAGTATATGAACAAAAATATTAAAAGTATTGAATTTAAACATAGTTTGTTCATCTATCAAAACATTAAAAACCACACAATTTTTGCTGCTTTTGGAAAGATATGTATACCAAAACAATACTTAAAATATGTCATCATGAAAGGATTTTATTTTATTCAGTATATTGATTAAAAATTAAAAGAAATGACATATGCACTATTGGAGGGAGACAGTAACCCAACTTCCATCCTACTCCCAATTTTTGATTCTGAAAATTCTGATCTAATGGAATTATGCTTCTGAAAAATTATTCATATGAACAAAGAGATAACTCTTTTTTTCAGTCCCTAAACAGAGTCTGGAAGAACAGAAATTACTCTCTGATACTTTAAGAGTAATCAATATGCTATTCATACCAAATCTTTAACTTTCAGAAAGAAGTCAGAAACAGAGATTGAAGAGAAAAAAAGTCTAAATCCTGGTAATTCTGAGGTTTCTTTTCCTTCTTCAGATGTACTGACTTGTTGTTTCTTACTGCATTATAAATTTGTTGACAGAGTAGACAGTTTTAATATTTATTTCATTCAAATAAGAGGCTGTGCATTATTTATACTCATCCAATAACAAACAAGGCATAAAGTTTTTTCAAATATTGAAATGTCTGAAATGAATAGCCCTTATTCATATTTTGAGGTTATATAGGTCTCAAGCTTGTCTTATAAGTCAGTAAAAACTGGCTATAAAAGATCAATGGGCCAGTCATCCCAGAATACTATATATTTTGGCTGCTCAAGTGTTAGAACCACTGAATTATTTAAATAAAAATACATATATCCATTTTTCAGATTGTAGGTCAAAACTTTTGGTGTGAAATATTGAAAATTAAAATGAGACAAAATTAGTCCAATGAGGAGAATTATTGACTAACTTACCTAAATAATAATTGTCCTATAGGGACAATTGGTTCTTGTGACCCAAAAGCTATTTGGACTTTGATTATGAGTCACTCTATCGGCTTCGCTTCTCCGTCTGTGCCTGTTCATTTTTGTACTCTAGTTTTTCTTTAAACATTGCAGCCACAGCCGTTACCTATTCTTAGCCTATGTTTTCCAATCTTCAATATTATTAGGTTGGTGCAAAAGGAATTAAAGTTTTTGCCATTATTTTTAACTCCCTTTGCACCAACCTAATAGAATGTCCTTTTATCTTAGTACCAATTAAACATAAACCTTAGGAAAAAATCAGACTTCTGGTTGTGGTTTCTTGCTACCTGTCTGGACTAATCAGGAGTCACTTAAGATGATAGCACCTTCTAATTGGAGGTGTTTGAATGAGAAGGGAACAGATCTTCAAAAGCTGAGGGGAGAAAGAAGAAAAGGTGCTACCACTAGAAGGATAGAGTTCAGCAAATATTTTTTTCACTCTACTGTTCAAATGTAAGATTTTTTTTACATTTTTGCCCAGTTGTTCTGTGCTAGAGACAGTTACAACCTAACTAAATAACTTATAAATGCATAAATGGCACATTCTTTAAATAAAAGGTCTAATGAGAAACTGGAGGTTATATAGTGTGACTTGATATATTCGAAATTTCATTCAAGTACAAACAACAGAGATCCTCAAAAAATTGTTTAAATATAATAGTTTTTTTCACGTAAAAAATAGCCACACATAGACAAAACAAGAGGAGAATGGCAGCCCCATCTTCTTCAGGCACTCAGACTCTTTCACTCTTTCCAGTTCCATCATTCTGGTATTTCTTTTTCTTTCTTTCTTTTATTTTTGTTTTTGTTTTTGTTTTTGTTTTGAGATAGAGTCATGTTCTGTCGCCAGGCTGGAGTGCAGCGGCTCAATCTTGGTTCACTGCAAGCTCCGCCTCCCGGGTTCAAGTGATTCTCCTGCCTCAGCCTCCCAGGTAGCTGGGATTACAGGCATGTGCCACCACGCCCAGCTAATTTTTGTATTTTTAGTAGAGATGGGGTTTCACCATGTTGGCCAGGATGGTCTTGGTCTCCTGACCTCATCATCTGCCTGCCTCAGCCTCCCAATGTCCTGGGATTATAGGCGTTAGCCACTGCACCCGGCCCATTCTGGTTTTTCTAAAGTCTCACACAACTACACCCGCTTAGAGTTAATACATTACACTTACATTAGCTCCTAAATACATTTAGGAGCTTGAGAAATTACCATTTTTTAACTGGACACTGCTATATTTAAAAACATTACATTTTATTAGTAAGGAAGAATAATTGATGGATATTGGGTGATTTTTGCCTCAATGTGTATTCTGGTTTCCAAGGCACTTGAAATACACATTATATCCAGAATACATCCAGGATATTATTTTTGGAAGCTAGTTTCATATAGACAGAAATTGATATGTAGATTTATAGATATAGCGATATACCTCTTTCTAGTCTACAGATAGATAGATGTAGATATCCTTGGAGTTAGAAACAAAACATATTTTTCTAATATTGAAAGTCATTTATTAAGTCATAAATATGTGTGAGACAGTTGGAATACTCTATTTTATCTTTCTATTTTGGAAAGAAAATTAGTAGCTACTTCTCCATTTCATTAAGCTGTTAGAAACATGTATAGCATCTTGAATAACATTTGAGACAAGCTTCTAAGTAATGTTAATGATACTATTTATAAGTTAAAAGGAAATAGCTAACTGCTGAATTAGTCTTTCAATGTGTTATCCTCTTCTGTGTAATAAAATAAATTAATTTGAATGTCATCTTGAACAAGGGTAACCTGAAAATACTAAATGCTTTTTGCAATGCTTTCATCAAGTTCCCTTCCATTTCTTTTATATATTTAGAGATACTCCTAGTGAAAGTTCTAATATTATATTTACTGATTAATTTTAGTTAATGAAAACAAATAACATAGTTACATAAAAGTAATTGCAAATGCAGTACTAAGATAAATAAATTGAGTTACCAAGCAGAAGCTCATTTCTTTATCATGTCCCAATTGGCAAATTATTTAGATTTTATACTTAATTTTAAAAGTGTGCTTAGCATCAATTATCGATATTATTATAAACGTTGCTATAGAATATTTTGTGATTTTCTCAGCCAAGTTGACAGCAGCATTAAAAGAAAAACCAAAACGTTAATTCAATAAAAATAATAGTTTGATTAATTCCCCTGTAACATTGTAACTTATACTACTTTCACCCCACAGAAACCCATGAGGCAGCTTAAAAAAGCTATATTAATTGAATATAACATTATCCCTTTGTGGTGTTAGAATCACTGTGAGATTTCA
Source organism: Homo sapiens (assembly GCF_000001405.40). Taxonomy (NCBI): domain Eukaryota; kingdom Metazoa; phylum Chordata; class Mammalia; order Primates; family Hominidae; genus Homo; species Homo sapiens. The sequence continues at coordinate 56,908,505 of NC_000002.12, read as the reverse complement.
GCCCTCATATACATTTCATATTGTCTTACCTCTTTCGGGCTTTCCTTCATTCTTCTTTCTAATATGGTAGCAAATTTTCTTCCAGTCCTTTTTTCTCTCTTAGAATGTGTACCTAAAGTTATGACCAATTCATTCTCACTGTCTATCTAGTCACATGTTGTATGAATGCAGCATTTTTTATTTAATAATTTGCCTATTGTTGGATCTTTATACTATTTCCAGTGTTTTGCTATTAAAAATAATGTGAGTGAAATGTTGGTTACATGTGGATTTTTTAAATTACAGATTTCTCAAAGTACCATTAATAAATCAAAGAATAGTGGAATCTGTAAGGCCTTTAATCCCTATTGCCAAGTAAATTTACATTTTAATCCATAGTAAATGAAAATATCTAGCTCATTGGCCCAAATAATATTGAATCAAAAATATTTATCACCATAAGTATGTTATATACGGTGTTGTAAGTTAAGAATATATTTTAATTTAGAATCTCGACTGCAAATGGAAGGGCATAAATACAACAGTAGTTGAAAGAGATATGAAATTTTGCTACTATTCTATTTCTATTTTTTAAGTTGAGGGAAACCAACATTTTTAAAATGATAATTGGAATTAAACTTAATAAAGTGGTAGAAAATAAGCAATAGTGTATTGACAAATGTTTAATATTCAGCTCTCTAAAATAATATATATATATATAAATATACATATATATGTAGTATTTGATGATTTTTTGATGATTTACATTGGGTAGATATTTCTACTATGACGTATCTCCACTGACCAGTTTGACATGAACCATCCCTCAAAATTTTAAAAAAATTATCAGTTGGTTCTTATGAGCTAGAACAAGCAGGCTTCAATACATCAAGTGGATAATTAATATCCGAGAGTCAAAGTCACTAAGATGCTGTAAGAAGAAGAGATGCATATGTAGGGAATTTAGTAATGGATGAGATAAGAAAAACTTCTGTGATGTCATTAATAGGAAGAAGTACATGATGAGTGCAAATTTAGTTTGGTTTATGGATTTAATGTCCAAAAGTTAATGACTTATAATCTCATAGCATCTGTTTTCTCTGTGAGGTAAAAAAAGGAAAAGTAATCTGATGATAACAAGGTACATGAGAATATGTTAAAAAGCATGTAAAAGATGGAGAATGAGAACACAAACTGACTAGAGAAATATAGAAAAATAACAGAACAGTGTTGAAAACCCTGCTTGGGTTACTGACCAGGAATTAATAGCAATTCCAAACAAAAAGGTGGTATTCCAGCCAGAACCAGAAGTCCACATTTGGAAAAGACAAAGCCATTACCTAGTTTCATGCATACTTAGGTACTTGTCAAAGCCATAAGGATAAAAGTATATTATAGAAAAGGAGTAAAGAAAGAGAATTTAGAATATTGTAGAAAAGTGATGGGATATGGAGTCTAATCTGGGTAGTGATGGAAACAGACACTGCATAGGAATAAAATGGAGGTGTCCATGAACAGAAAGTCCCATGGAGATTTTTCTGACTCAGGTGATGCTGAAAATAATAATGATAAATGCCAGCAAATGACAAAGTAGGGAATCTCAAACTGCCATTTTCATTCCACAGAAACAGCAAGAAGACAAAAGAAATCGACAGAACCAACTTTGTCAACATTTTAGATAACAATCAAAACTCTAGATAAAATCCAAGTGGGATTTATCCCAGGAATGCAAGAGTTGTTCAACATATAAATTCAATAAAATAATACATCACATTAATAGAATGAAGAGGGAGAAAGCATATTATCTCAAGTGGTACAGAAAAAAAAAGCATTTAGCAAAATCCAATACCCTTTTATGATAAAAATACATAATAAATTAGAAATACAAGGGAACTTTCTCAAAATGATAAAGACCATATATGAAAAACCCACAGCTCACATCACATGCAATGGTGAAAGCTTTAAACTTTCCCCCCCAAAATAAGAAACAAGAAAAGCAGTGTTGTCAAAACTGTAGATAATATTCAAAGGTTACAATAATTCAGTGTTGGACACTGAATTTTTTAAATCAAATTAAAAAATTATTGAAAATCTTTGTGACATTTTTATCTGTGCTTTCCCCGTCCACTCCTGAGCTAGGAAGCAGTCTTCAAGATGGTAGCTCTTGCTCCTAATGTGATCCTAGTACCTGGATCTGAAGGGAGCAAAGCAGACCTTATTCACAAATTATTGTGTTTGTTTTAAACTGGCTGGGGACAACCTGAAGAACTAATATGAGTTCCTCCTCTCTGTTTCACCTATTCCAGAACCCACTCAAGGCAGGAATTATGTGAGAATTGCTTTGAAAACATGGTAAGACATACAAAAGTCTGCATTTGCTTTTGGAGACCAAAGATTATATTGAGGCATAGAGTAAATCTCCAAATCCCTGGGAGGAAGAGCAGGGGAGAGAGTTTCTTTAGGAAATTAGGACATTAAAAGTGTTTGAGCACTTTTATCAAATTACTGGAGAATTTAGAAAACCACAGTCCATGTCCAGGACATGGTATAGGCTCAGAAAAACAGGAGAGAAGAAACTAAGCTTTCACCACTGGCTGATCTATAGACACAGTGCAAGTAAGAAGGGAAAGATATGACAGAAATGTAAATGAGTTGGCTAAATGTTAAAGGAGTGCCCAGCCCAGAGCCAAGCCACAAAGCCTGGAAAAGTTGGCTTAGTTGTTATTATAATTGCCATTGTTGTTCAAGGCTCCTGAAATTCAAGGAAATCCTAGTCAAACATTGGCAGAATACAAGCTAAATGTTCAACAGTCAAGTACAGCAAACCCTCAGGAAGAAGAAAATCTAATTTTTGTATGTGTGTGATGACAACGTTTAAGATCTACTCTCTTCGCGATTTTCAAGTATAAGATTAATTATGATTAACTATATATGTGACTAAAGTATTCAAATCAACTATCTTACATATGAAATATGTTCAAAAAGCTGAAGAAAATCATGGAAAAAGAACAAAAAGAAACCAGGAAAATAAAGTATGAGAAACTGAGAGTATCAATAAAGAGAATTATAAAAAAGGAACCAAATAGAAATACTGGAGCTGAAAAGTATAATACCATTGGCCCTTCATATCCAAGGGTTCCACATCTCTGCAGATACAACCAATTGTGGATGAAAAATATTTCAAAAAATAGAAAATAACATCCCAACAATAAAAAACAAATAAATATAAAATATTATAACAATGATTTAAATAAAATTTATATTAAATTAGAGATTATAGTCTATAGATAATTTAAAGTATATGGGAGAATGTATATAGGTTATATGCAAATACTATACTATTTTATATAAGGGACTTGAGCATTATAGATTTTGGTATCTGCAGGGGTCCTGAAACCAATACTTCAAAGATACCAAAGGGCAACTGTAATTGAAATGAGAAACTCACTAGAGAATTCATCATCATATTTGGGCAGGCAATAGAATGATTGTATGTCAACAAATTAGATAACCTTGATAGACTGGAAAAGATGCCAGAAACACACAAATTATTTTAACTGGCTCAAAAAAACAACACACCTGCACACAAAATTTCAACAGACTTACAATAAGAAAAAAGTTTGAATCAGTAATCAAAAACCTACTGACAAATGAAATCTAGGACCAGATAGCTTCACTGGTAAACTGTACCAAATGTTTAAAGGATAATTAACACCAATGTTTCCCAAACTCTTCCAAAAAATAAGAGGGAACACTTCCTAATTCATTCTGTGACACCAGCATTATCCTGACACCAAAACTGGACAAAGACACTACAAGAAAATAAAACTGTAGACCATTACTCCTTATGAATATACATACAAAAATTCTCAACAAAATACTGGCAAACCACACCCAACAACATAAAAAAAAAAAAAAGGATTACACATCATGGCCAAGTGGAATTTATCCCAGGAATGCAAGAGTTGTTCAACATATAAATTCAGTAAAATAATACACCACATTCACAGAATGAGGGGGAAATGCATACAGTTATCTCAAGTGGTACAGAAAAAGCATTTAGCAAAATCCAGCACCCTTTTATGATAAAAACATAATAAACTAGAAATACAAGGAAATTTCCTCAACATGATAAAAGTCGTATACAAAAAACCCACAGTTCACATCACATGCAATGGTGAATGCCTTAAAAAAACATTTCCCCCAAAATAAGGAACAACACAAATACACCCACTTTTTCCTCTTCTATTCAACATAATACTGGAAAATCCAGCCAGAGCAATTAGGCAAGAAAAAGAAATAAAAAACATTCAAATAAACAACAAGGAACAAGGAAGACTATTTCTATCCACAGATTATCTTATATCTAGAAAATCCTAAAGAATCTACAAAAATAAAATTTTAGAGCTAACAAATTCATTAATGTTGCAAGACACAACACCAACACTCAAAAATCAATTGCATTTCTATACACCAGCAACAAACAATCTAAAAGTAAATTAAACAATTTAATTTACAAAGCATCAAAAGAAAAAAATACTTTGGAATAATTTAACCAAGGAGCACAAGACTTATACACTAGAAATGAGAAAATTATGCTAAAATAAATTAAATAAGACCCAAATAAAATGAAAGATAGCTCATATTCAGACATTGGAAGACAATATTGTTTAATGACAATACTACCAAAAGTAACATGCTGATTCAATACAATCCTTATAAAAATCTTATTTTTCCTGCAGAAATAAAAAATCTTATTCTAAAATTCATATAGAATTCCAAAGGACACAGAATAGTCAAAATAATCTAGAAAAATAAGAGCAAAGTTGTGTGACTCACAGTTGCTGATTTCAAGACTTTCTAAGAAGACAGGACAAAATAGAAAATCAGAGATTTGAAGCCTGAAAAATAACCACCATTTTTGGCTTGAAGATGAAGGAAGCCACAAGTTGAGGAAATAGGGATCTTCATCGTACAAACTAAAGCAACTGAATTCTGCCAAAAATCTGAGTAACTTCAGAAGCAGATTTACTTTTCCCATAATCTCCATCCAGCTTTGCTGACACCTTGATTTTAGCCTTTTAAGTCTTTAAGCAAGGAGAGGACCCACTCAAGCCTGCCTAGGCTTTCGAACTGCAGAACTATGAGACAATAAATGTGTTGTTTGAAGGCACTAAATTTATGGTAATTACACTATGCAGCAATAGAAAGCAGCTACTAAACATTCACCAATACTCCAGATCCACTCTGCAGCCTTATTCACTCTTTTCTATGACCCAGGAAGATAATCTGAATGGCTTCCTTTTCTTCTGCCTTCCTATTGGTTTGGCCAATGGAAAGTATCAGCATGAAATCAGAAGGTGGCAGAAGAAGGAGATTGAAGCATTTATTCCTGACTCACTTCTTCTGGGTCCCCGTGAAATGGTGCATCTTTGTACTTAAAGCCACAGCTCCTCCTATGGAAACTTCGCAGACTTTTTGGGTTCCTATACCCCTCCTTCTGCTTGTGCTTTCAGAATAAAGGTTATAATGGCTCCCAAACAGTGCTTACTCTAGGGTACTGCACCATCTTTTATTGTTTTACAGAACACTACCAACACACTTTTGTAAACAACCCCTTTATTAAACTCTCCTCACTTATACAGCTTGTGCCCTCTGTTCAAACTTGATAGCACCCTGGCTGATAGAACTGGTTTTGGTTTTCTCATCAGGGCTCGTTAAATACACCACCAAATGATGAGCAAACATCCATGAGCAAATATTGGGGAAGACCAAAATTTTCCTCTCCTCCTACTAACGGGAGTGTTTTTGTTTGTTTGTTTTTTGTTTTTGTTTTTGTTTTTGTTTTTGAGACTTTCACTCTTATTGCCCAGGCTGGAGTACAATGGTGCTATCTCAGCTCAAGGCAACCTCCGCCTCCTGGGTTCAAGTGCTTCTCCTGCCTCAGCCTCCCGAGTAGCTGGGATTACAGGCATGCACCACCACGCCCAGCTAATTTTGTACTTTTAGTAGAGACGTGGTTTCTCCATGTTGGTCAGACTGGTCTTGAACTCCTAACCTCAGGGGATCTGCCTGCCTCGGCCTCCCAAAGTGCTGGGATTACAGGTGTGAGCCACCATGCCTGGCGGAAATCTGTTTTTAAAGAAAATTTTCTTGAGTTTTGCAATATAATTGTCTGTTAACTTTAGTTTCTGCAGGTGGTAGAAATCTCTCTCTCATTGTGTGTGTGTGTGTGTGTGTGTGTGTGTGTGTGTCTGTAGTCACAGTTGCATCAGTATGAGGAACCAAAACTGACACTTTGCCTGGCTTGTGTTATCAAGAATCTTGGATATTCCAAGGTCAGGAAAAAATAAACAACAAAATAACATGCCCACCATGTGTGGTTCTGGTTCCAAAATAAAGGAAAGTTTGGACATTTTCTGTAAGTCTGAATCACTCTAGTCAAAAATTACTTCACTCACAAATTTTTCAATACTTATGAGTGAAGATAAATTACAACATTTTGGGGTACAATATCCATGTAAAAAATTGGAGTTCTTCTACAATGAACAGATTAATGTACAGTTGGCATGCCTTGTGATATTTTTTCCTTCCTTTAAATGTTTGTTTGTATTTAGAAATCCAGTCCTTCTAAAATCAGACTCCCTCTACTATTTGCAAAGAAACTTGTCTGTCTTTTGTCAAAAAGCATAGAAATCAATTGTGAGCAGGCACATCAGATGTATATATACCCTTATCTTAATCCTGAAGTCTCATTTAATTTTCTCAGAATCTATATAAAATAGATAGCTATATAGTGTAACTTGTGTTTTACAGATGGAAAAGAGGTTGAAAGATTTGTAGGAGGGCCTGAGGCATTTTAGTGCTGGATACATCAATCCTATTCCTAGTTTTGCAATTAAAATACACTGTGATTGCATGTAACATTGATGGATACAACTATACCTTTATTATATCTATGCTATACAGACATGCTGTATTTTATTTTTTACTACTTTATATCTCCTTTCTGCCTCATTCTTTTGCCAAATGAAGAACACAATTCTCACCATCTGTACAGGCTCACCCAATACTGCCAGCTAGTATCATATAGAATATGGCCACGACACACACAGTCAGGATTTGGCTTGTGCCTACATACCAACCAGAATACACTTCACTTAAGCAAGTAGCTTCCGTATTGGAAATAAATGCCTCATGATAATAATCCCTTACAATTGTTATGATTACTCTATCTTCCACTCTCCTTACGAAGATGAAAGATCTTCCTAAGTGTTTACAGTGAGGGGGAGAAAGCTAGAATCCTCAGGGATGAAAATGTTCACCTCTTGTGTGGCAATTCAAGTAAAAATAAGTTACTCCATATGGGCTCCTAGGGTTCGTTTCACGTTTGGTACATATCAGTGAAGCAGCAGAGTGCAATGGCTGTGAGCTGGACTGTGGAATCAATGGAACCTGGGTTCACATTTCAGTTCTGCTAGTTTCCAGTCCTTTAAGTTTGTACAAGTTACCCAAAACTATCTGTAAAATTATAATAATCTTACCATACTCACAGGTAACGCTAATTATGAAGGCTAACATTTTGAAGGCAAAATTAGTTAGTATTATCAAACCACATAGGTGTGTGCCATAGATATAATTGCTAAATAAATTAAAATTAGCTAGGAAATTTTGTGTCTCTTTCAATCAATTATTCTTTGAGGCCAAAGACTCCAGCTAATTCAGAGAATCTGGCATATATTCAAGTGTTAACTTGTTGCTTTTATAGAATTTAATTGAACAAGATGATCCAGAACAGATTTCCGATATTTAGGACAGATAGATTCCAGATTATAAGGGAGTAATTAGTGGTTTAACTATCACTTTAATTCTGAAAGAAATATCTGATCAAATGATTAGATTTTTTTTAATCCATCCTTCTCTGTTCTGTGTCACTCCTCTTTAATTTCATAATGTCAATCAAGGTGAAGTTAACTCAGTGAGGCATTAAAATGGTGACAGAAATATATAAATCATGTTTGAAGAAAGATAGTTGAGTACATGGTCTCTTAAAAAGAAAGCATAAAGCATAGAACTTTTATTTCTGAATCTGCTGCATATTGATATTATCTGTACATATCTATATTACATAAAGCATCATTATTCTACATATCTAGCCCATGCTCTTACAGAAATAAAATAATAATTTAAATACTGGTTTGGGACACTATATGCATTTTTCTAGGTGTGTTTGCCTTATATGAAGAGAAGGATCATGGTATTATCTGTTAGATTTAAACAAACTATATAGCAAAATACGTTCATGTTCATCTGTGCAACAGTAAACTTGTCCCCATCATATAATCAACTATAGATAGATAAGAATAAAGAATTAAGGTCATTTTCTAGATGATTCGGGTCAAACAGTACTTTAGTTTCAATTTTCCAGATAAAAGATGCTTTAAATATTTTTAATTACATGGACAATTTTCTAAGCTCTCTATTGTGCTCAGGATGAATATTTTCAAAAAATTCTTAGGGATAATTTTTTAATGAGTATTTTCTTAAGGATTTATTATGAAAATCATTTTGAAATCTAGATATTTATAAATAATTAAAGATTGTATCCAATGCATGAAAAGGCCAAATACCTTTGATGACTGAATCATATATATAATATTTAGAATCAAGTGTTAAAAATGAAATTTTAAAAAAGCTTTTTTAACTGGATGATTAATGCTCAAGGATTGCACATTTTTCTTCAACTGAAAACTAATTGATGAAATCAATTGTTGAATAGCTGACATGCGGTTAAGATTTGCTGAGAAGGAAATATCTTTGATCAGTGAATAATGGTATTTTCCGGCTATCTGAAGAGAACTGACTGGCTCCACTGTACATGCAATTAAAAGATCACTAGATTTATAATCCCCATGAAGACAGAAAAAAATACACCATCAAATCTACCATCTGAAACTTCAGTAATACTCAAGATTTACCTTGTATTTTATTTTTAAATGCCACATTAATAGAATGACAGTGCTGCTAATTTTTACATTCTCTAATTTTATCTTTTCTTTTTCCAGCAAAAGAGCATGGCGCAAGTAACTTATATTCATGGTATAAGATTCTGTTGTGAAAACAAAACGATGAGTAGGCAACAGTTAGTAAGTTAATATTTTTCGAAGCCAAAAATTATTAAGTACTTTATAATGTTCTTTGGGTAGTTAGTGCAAACAACTAGCTTACTATGTATCAAGAATTCATGGATATTTTTAAGAATCAGGAAATATGTTGTTTGGGAAATAATGCCTACATCTGGTTTCTGTCTCATCAAAAATCCCTTACTGGAAGAATTCTTTTCCTTGTGTTAGCAAAATATGTGGAATGTTCTAAAGTAGTTCAAAAAAGGACAGTTCTCATTTGGAAATAATCTTTGGCCAGGAACAATGTTTGACTTTTCTGCACAGAAGCAGTTTGTAGAATTTTTACATGAGCAATATGTTTTATTTGTAACAAAATCAATTATTCATATTTCAAATTTTTCAATAATTGTGAAAATGACAAATATTGCTTTATATGTGTATATTTAAATTGATTATAGGTTGTATTTAATAATGTTTAGACTTGTAGATTCTGATATTTTATTCTTATAAACTCTGACAGATGTTTCTTGAGTAAATGTGTGCTTTTCTATTTTGGTGAATTACTAGGCCAAGATATCCACGGAATTTAAATTCAGAGAAAGCCCTTTATAGAATTTTGTTCAATAACAATTTTCACTTAAGTGTGAGTCTCTTTGCAGGTACCTTTTTTAATTTTTTTTTTTTTTTTTTTTTTTTTTTTTTTTGATACAGAGTCTCACTCTATCACCCAGGCTGGAGTACAGTGGCATGATCACGGCTCACTACAACTTCTGCCTCCCAGGTTCAAGTGATTTCCCTGTAACTCCTTATATAATCCAATCCATTCTGTGTTTAGCAAATTACATTATCAGGGATTTTGAACATTCCATGTTCTATTCTTTTAATAGATACTCAATATCTGTTGAATTAAATTAAATGATTCAGGTGAATGGAGTTCTTTTTATTTTTTAACAGTTTTTTAAAGATAATTATAAAAATATTTCAAGACTTAACATTTATTTACTAGTCTGCTTCAAGTTGGTTAAGTAAAGTTTTCTATACTTGGCCAGCAAAAATTATGTGACATTGAGAATTAATTCACAAATGGCATTGAAACTGGTCGTGTTACTTATTGTCTTGCCTACAAATATCTAGTCACTCCAGAATATTCTTCCAAATTTACTATATACTTAATTTTATTTACTTATATTGTTTAATATGTCTGTAAATATGATGTGTTGCCATATAATAGTTAATTCTATGTCTCCCTAGATTCAGTTGATAAGCTCCTTTTACATTGGATCTCCCTTAAAAACCAAGAATCTGTGAGGCGCTGGGTTTTCTGGCGCTCCAAAACTCAAAGGAAAGAACCTAGGCTGTATCATCGTGGTAGAGAGAGAATGAAATGTTAGAAATATATGATGTGGAATTATAAAGCATACCATAGCCCTATCACCTTGACTATATGCCAGTTTGTGCTATTTACAGTTCTTCTGATATGTTCAAAATTAAAATATATTAGTACTTCCATATTTTTTCATTATATGTCACACAGAAAATGATAACATTCCTATACCATACTGATGTAAACTTGAGGGACATTTTCTTTTATGTATCTCTGTATACACATACACACATTTAATACATGTGAAGTAAAATTAAAATTGGCTCCTGCTAAAAATCTGTATTGCCTCACTGCCACCTCCTTCACCTCCTCACTTTCACCTGCACACCATGCTTCTTGTCCACTTTTTTTACTCTCCCAGCATCTCATCAGGCCTATTGTACACATTGGGTAGCTGGGCTCTACGTAGCCTCAGCTAAGATAGATGTTCAGATTGAAGAGCCCCTGTTTGGCCTTGCTAATTGTATAGGAGGGTAGAAAATGCAGGATGTTGCTCATAGTGCTTACTACCTATTGGTCATGAGTTTTGTTTTCAGACTTTTCTAATCATGCTGTCCTTGAAAGAGACTTACATAAAATTGTTTACAGAGAAAGGTATCAGGCCACAGATCTCCAGGCACCCCAGACTCTACTTTGTCTCTAAGAGTCTTCAGGGAATCAATGCCTTAAAGCATAGCTATAAGCCCTTCATGGTATACCCATAAAGAAGTTCTGAATTATTCAGTGGCAGAAATTACATTGTATTCTGAGTAGACTATTTTGCTGGACTCCATGCACTATAACAAGAAGAATTTTGGGGAAATTCAAATATAAGATACCTGAAAGATGTCATCAAATTCCTGACTTCAATTAAATATAATTGCCATAGTAGGGCAAGAGAGTCAAAATATTATATAAAGTTTGCTTACCCAGCATCAAATATATCCTTTTCCATTCAGGTGTCTAAAAAAATAACAACTTGAAGAAACAAAACACATCAAAGCAAACCAGACAGAATTCACTAGTAAGTCATAATAAGTTTACTAACAACAAATGTGTACACCCTATCTCCTGAAATAGTGTGATTTAAATTTTGTCCAGTGGTCTCAAAGATGGCTTTAGCTTTATCTACACAATCTATTTGTGTATCTATTTACAATCTATTTATTTATTCATTTACAATCTATTTATCTATTGCAATCATTTAAACAGACTTTTTAAAAGTTTGGTTCCCAGTACTCACCCCAGAAATCATAACACTTAATTGGTCTGGTGTTTGTCTTGGGCATAGGTATTATTGTTAAAACTTTCCAGGTGATACTAATGAGTGGCTATATCTGGGAATCACTGCCTTAGACTTTTATATTCTCATTCTCTCTCTACCAAGCAATAATTGGATATTCTCAGATCTCTTCTTTACTGAAGTTCTCAGCTTTTCTGGTTACAGGATTATTCTTCACGTTGAAATGACACCCTTCTTAACTGTGCATGAGAGGGGCTTTTATTCTCTCCATATGTTAAACACTAACAGAAACAGAATCCCTGGAGACCAAGTAGTTTGTCCAGGTACAGCAGTGTCATACATCCTACCAGCCCTCTGCCCCACTCCACACACCATGTCCCAGCTAAGAAAATGTTTTTTTTCTAGTTTGAATTCTTGACATATTCAACAAAATAAAGTGTAACAATGAGCTTTTGTTTTTTCTCTTTCTTTAACTTGACCTGGAGTGCCAGACAGGTCACTTACCTCCAAAGGCACTGAAAACAGTAAAAAACTATTGATTCTTTATTAATTTAGATGTTCTTTTCTTTTTCTTCAAACATATCTGCACAAATATCTGAATATATAGGCAAAAGAGGAGACTGGAGTTCATCTCAGAGTACAACAGAGCTTTTTTATACACAACTGCTAACTGGTTCTATACTAAATAGACAAGATCAGTAATAGAAATACAGTTGCCACACTTTCAAGACATCAGTTCTAAAAACCAAGCATATAATGCCTAACTTTCAATTACATTTCACAATTTAACTCTCCCACCTGAGAGGGAGAGAAGAAATAGAAAAAGAAATATTTTACAGATTTAAAATAATCAAAAGGGATACAATATATATACTTATTAAACAACGTCCTGCTAAACCTTAAGAGTATGGTTATTGGTAATTCAAGTCAAATTAAATATTATACACAGTTTTAAAAAGTAATTGAACTGTTCTAGATTATGGTAAATCTGTACCAGTAAAGTCCCTTATGTGTGGAAGCCATACTCAGACTCTCAAAATTATTTTTACACAATATTTTTACCATTTATAAAAACAATTAAACTAGGTATAAAGAAATAATTGAATTTGACATGTATAGTGAAAGAAATAATAGTGAATATAGTGCACTAAACATATATATGTACTGCCTATTACAGCTGCTAAATGCACCCACATCCCAATTATGACATCATGAAATAAATAGGGACACCAATGAGCTACTTATAAGATTTACATAATTTTACTGTTGTCATTTATGATAATGCAATAGTTTCAGAGCAGAGCAGAGGACTTAAGGAAACTATAAATTATTGGGTTTAAAAGAACCATGTCTTCTTTTTAAAATTTTTGATCATTATTTTTATGCATCTTATGATTTGGGATAAATACTAAAATGCAAAATAACTATATCATCTATAGGTGAAGGTTAAAAAAATTGGCCAGTTATTTATGGTACCTTACATACTGTATAGTTATCCATGCTTTAAAAGGATTTTATACTTCTCGAATAAATGAATAGCTATTTTTTTCATGAGGCAAACAGCATCATCTCCAAACTTATAATTAAAGAGGGCTTCTTTACATTGTACTCTTGCACATATGTTTATTTTTATTGCCATTTTAACCTTTGATTTATTGAAAATGTTATCTCTGTAACAACATTCAGTCTTGCACTCTATTCATAAGTCAAGTTGAAATATGGGAAAATTAAAATGTGACTATAATGAATCATTTCTAATATTGTCACATTTCTAGTATTGTCTGTCATATATAACTTTTCCTTATCTTAGAATTCAAATAGCCCCATATGTTTGATTTCAATAAAGTGTCTAATTTTTTCTGATGTAATAATACATCTGTGCAATAAAATTGGTAATTATGTAGAATTATTCTTCATTGGGTAGAAAATAAAGTTTTCATTAACAACTGCAAAATGTCATAAATCTTTGTATTGTTACTCAGAATTACATCTCTTTTTTAAGTAAGAAAGGACAAAACACCACTCTGAAAAGAAACTGTTTGCCATCGTCTCAGTCCAAAATCTCCTTAAGCTGACAGGCAACTTCAGGAAAGTCTCAGGATACAAAATCAATGTGCAAAAATCACAAGCATTCTTATACACAAATAACAGACAAACAGAGAGCCAAATCATGAGTGAACTCCCATTCACAATTGCTTCAAAGAGATAAACTACCTAGGAATCCAACTTACAAAGGACGTGAAGGACCTCTTCAAGGAGAACTACAAACCACTGCTCAATGAAATAAAAGAGGTTAAAACAAATGGAAGAACATTCCATGCTCATGTGTAGGAAGAATCGATATCGTGAAAATGGCCATACTGCCCAAGGTAATTTATAGATTCAATGCCATCCCCATCAAGCTACCAATGACTTTCTCCACAGAATTGGAAAAAACTACTTTAAAGTTCATATGGAACCAAAAAAGAGCCTGCATTGCCAAGTCAATCCTAAGCCAAAAGAACAAAGCTGGAGGCATCACGCTACCTGACTTCAAACTATACTACAAGGCTACAGTAACCAAAACAGCATGGTACTGGTACCAAAACAGAGATATAGACCAATGGAACAGAACAGAGCCCTCAAAAATAATGCCACATATCTACAACTATCTGATCTTTGACAAACCTGACAAAAAGAAGAAATGGGGAAAGGATTCCCTATTTAGTAAATGGTGCTGGGAAAACTGGCTAGCCATATGTAGAAAGCTGAAACTGGATCCCTTCCTTACATCTTATACAAAAATTAATTCAAGATGGATTAAAGACTTAAATGTTAGACGTAAAACCATAAAAACCCTAGAAGAAAACCTAGGCAATACCATTCAGGACATAGGCAGGGGCAAGGACTTCATGTCTAAAACACCAAAAGCAATGGCAACAAAAGCCAAAATTGTCAAATGGGATCTAATTAAACTACAGAGCTTCTGCACAGCAGAAGAAACTACCATCAGAGTGAACAGGCAACCTACAGAATGGGAGAAAATTTTTGCAATACACTCATCTGAAAAAGGGGCTAATATCCAGAATCTACAATGAACTCAAACAAATTTACAAGAAAAAAACAAACAAACAACCCCACCAAAAAGTGGGCAAAGGATATGAACAGACACTTCTCAAAAGAAGATATTAACGCAGCCAACAGACACATGAAAAAATGCTCATCATCACTGGCCATCAGAGAAATGCAAATCAAAACCAAAATGAGATACCATCTACACCAGTTAGAATAGTGATCATTAAAAAGTCAGGAAACAACAGGTGCTGGAGAGGATGTGGAGAAATAGGAACACTTTTACACTGTTGGTGGGACTGTAAACTAATTTAACCATTGTGGAAGTCAGTGTGGCGATTCCTCAGAACTAGAAATACCATTTGACCCAACCATCCCATTACTGGGTATATACCCAAAGGATTATAAAACATGCTGCTATAAAGACACATGCACACGTATGTTTATTGCGGCACTATTCACAATAGCAAAGACTTGGAACCAAGCCAAATGTCCAACAACGATAGACTGGATTAAGAAAATGTGGCACATATACACCATGGAATACTATGCAGCCATAAAAAATGATGAGTTCATCTCCTTTGTAGGGACATGGATGAAGCTGGAAACCATCATTCTCAGCAAACTATCGCAAGGACAAAAAACCAAACACTGCATGTTCTTACTCATAGGTGGGAATTGAACAATGAGAACACATGGACACAGGAAGGGGAACATCACACACCGGGTCCTGCTGTGGGGTGGAGGGAAGGGGGAGGGATAGCATTAGGAGATATAACTAATGTTAAATGACGAGTTAATGGGTGCAGCACACCAACATGGCACATGTATACATATGTAACAAACCTGCACGTTGTGCCCATGTACCCTAAAACTTAAAGTATAATAAAAAAATAAAAAAAGAAACTGTTTGAAATTAACTTTAAAAAAATGAAACAAAACGTCATGTTCAATGTATTTTATGCCATTACTTCTATGTATGCAGGTACTTACTCTTTTCAGTCTGTCATTTTTACTTTTGTTGTTCACTGTCATATGTTATAAAGACATTGCTTTGTATCTCTAATACTGGCATCTTGCCTGTGACACTAACTTGGATATGCAGAGGCAGCTAATTAAAGATCATCTGAAATACTCTAGTTTCCCTGGGAATGTCCACATCTCTTTGGACTAGGAAGATAAAGGATCTGTTTCTACTAGAGCAAATTGTTTACTAAATGCCTTGACAACATAGAGCAGTAGTTTCAGGCTGGAGTCTATAAAACTATTTTATGGTATAACCTGTGAACTCTTTCTGAACCTTTTTTTACTTTCTCCCAAGATTAGAGATTTTGATTAGACTTTCTATCCATAATATCTTTTGTGAAAAAAAGCCGGGGGGCTTCAATTCTTACGTGCTTTAGATTGTGTTGTCCTAGGTCCAGATTCCTTCTGATGACTGGGGCACTTTGGAGGTCCTCTCTTATCACAATGTTGAATTTTAAAGAGAAAAATTTAGTCATTTCTACTCTTAACGTTTTTAGGTAATTTAAAATACATTACAGAAATTCAGAAAGGCAAAATATCTGCCTAGAAAGAAGCCTAAACAGAAAGTATAAGTTACTTATCACGGGGTCAGAAAGATGAAGCACTTCGCTAAATGTTCCTTGAAAAGAACAGGGTATATTCTGTTCCATTGGTCTATATGTCTGTTTTTATGCCAGTGCTATAGGTTTTGATTACTATAACTTTGAAATATGGTTTGAAATCAGGAAGTGTGACACTTCCACAGATGCTTCCATAGATATTCTAAGGCAAGCTTAAGATGGAAGCATCTGTGCCCTTAAGTTTGCTTTAGCTATTCAGTCTTTTGTGGTTCCATACAAATTTTAAGATTTTTTTTCTTTCTGTGAAAAATGTCATTAGGATTTTGATAGAGATTGCACTGAATGTGTAGGTCTCTTTGATTAGTAGAGACATTTTAGTATAGACATTTTAACAATATTAATTTTTTCAATCTATAGACATGAGATATTTTTTCCTTTTGCGTTTTCTTCAATTACTTCTGTCAATGCTTTATGGCTTTCAGCGTACCGTACAGAACTTTCACTTCCTTGGTTAAATTTATTCCCAAGTATTTTATTCTTTCTGATGTTATTAAACATGTCACTTTAAAAATTTCTTTTTCAGACAGTTTATTGTATTGAGTGTAGAAATGCACCTAATTTTTGTATGTTGATTTTGTAATCTGTAACTTTACTGAATTTGTTTATTAGTTCTAATAGTTTTTTTAGAGGAGTTGTTAGGGTTTTATTTATATAAGAGTTGCAAATAAAAGATTTCTTTACAAGAGATTGTCTTTGAAGAAAGACAGTTTAACTTCTTTTACAGTTTGGATGCTGTTTATTTCTTTCTCTTGCCTAATTTATATGGATAGGACTTCCTACACTATGTTGAACAGAAGTAGTAAGAGTGAGTATCTCTGTCTTACTCCTGGTCTTAGGAGTTGAACATCATGTTGAACATGATGTTACTCTGAGCTTGTCATATATGGCTTTAAATATGTTGAGGTACATTCTTTGTATACCTACTGTGGTGAGAGATTTTATCATGAAAGTATGTATAATGGTAAGCTAATATTTGACAGGGACATTAAAAATATACAATGAGGAAAGAATGATCTTGTCAATAAATATCACTAGGAAAACTGAATGTCCACATGCAAAAAAAATGAAACTGAACAATTTTCTTACGCCAATCACAAAAAATTAATTCAAAATATAAGGCTTAAATATTAAGACCTACAACCATAAAACTTCCAAAAGTAAAGATAGGTAATAAGCTCCGTGATATGGGTCTTGGCAATGACTTTTTGGATGTAACATAAAAGCACAAGCAACAGAAGAAAAAAATAAGTGAAACTACATCAAACTTTAAAGTTTCTGCACAATAACAGCAATAAAAATCCATATAATGAAAGGACAACCTACTAAATGGGGCAAAAATTTGCCAACTATGGTATACATCTGATATAGGGTTAGTATCCAAAATATATGAGAGGCTAATACAATTCAACAGCAAAAAAACACAAATAATTTTGTTTAAAAATATGGTCAAATGTCCTAAATAGATATTTCTCCAAAGAAATCATACAATAGGCTAATAGAAACATGAAAAGGTGCTCAACATCACAAGTTATCCGGGAAATGCAAATGAAAACACCAATGAGATATAATCTCACACCTGATAGGATGGCTATTATCGAAAACACAACAGGTAACAAGTGCTGGTGAAGATGTAGAGAAAAGGGAACATTTGTATATTCTTCTTGGGAAAATAAGTTAGTACAGCCATTATGGAACACAGTTTGAGGCTTCTTCAAAAAATTTAAAATAGAACTACCATATGATCCAGCAATCTCATATACACACACACATATATATGCACACATATATATGTTGAACATGATGTTACTCTGAGCTTGTCATATATGGCTTTACTAACATTGAGATACATTCTTTGGTGAGTATTTTTTATCGTGAAAGTATGTATAATGGTAAGCTAATATTTGACAAGGACATCAAGAATATAAAATGACGATACATATACATTCTCACACACACACATATATATGAAAGAAAAACATTATTTTGAAGGGATTTCTGAACTCCCATGTTCATTACATTATTTACAATAGCTTAAACATGGAAACAACCTAAGTGTGTCCATCGATGGACAGATAAATGGATAATGAAGATGTATTTAAATAAAGAAAATCCTTCCAAATAATGAGACATGAATGAATCTGGAAGTAATTATGCTAATTGAAATGAGTCAGGCATAAAAAGACAAGTGAGTTATGTTCTCACTTATATGTGGAATCTAAGTCAAACTCATACAAACAGAGAGTTCTGGGGGTTGCTAGGGCCTGGGGGGTGCGCAAACTGGGGACATATTTTTCAAATGGTACAAATTTCATTTATAAGATCAATAAGTTCTGGGAGGATCTAATGTACAGCATGGTAACTATAGTTAATAATGCTGCATTGTAAACTTGAAATTTGCTAAGAGAAGATTTTAAATATTCTCACCATAAAACACACACACACACACACACACACACACACAGAATAGTAACTAGGTAAAGAAATAGATGTTTTAATTAACTTAAATATGGCAATCATTTATATATATGTATATGTGTATATACATATATGTATCAAATTACATCACACACCATAACAATTTTGTCAGTTAGACCTCAATAAATCTATTGAAAAGAAAAGAACAAAGTAGAAAACAGTATAGGATTCTAGAATTTGCCAATCAGAAAGAAGTAAAAGATTTGTCCTAAGCAGTTGATAAAGGATAGTTTGTAGATCTAAGAAAATGGCCACAGTTATAAGTCCACAAATGACCACACAGAAAGGGTTTTAGGAAATAAGATGTCTCAAAGAGTGACAAGGAGAATAAAAGAGACAATGTCAGATTAAAATTGTATTTTACTAATCTACTATTTTGTATCTTGCAGTATTTTCTCAACAAAATTATAAAAGTAAAGTCAGAAGTTAAACAGTCATTTTAAAGAATTCTTAGTGTATGGAATCCTCACATTGTGCATAAAATATAAGTAAAATATAAAGTAAAAAATATAAAGTAAAAAATATAAAATATAAGTAAAATGTAACTATGTCAATGAAAAGTATTTTCAAAGAATTTTCCCTTCATCTCACGCTAGCGAGTACACTCTATGTTTAAACTAGAATAAACACATTAATAAAAATAGGAATTGTATTTGGGAAAGTGTGACTTTCACACTTCTTTTACATTTTCAAATTTTTCTTTGCCTGAAAAGCAAAGAATATAGTTGAAAACAGAGAGAATTGTTAAATTATTAAAGTCCAAATTTGCTGATCAAAAATCGTTAGACATGAATTTGCATTTTTAGAAGTTACTTTTATTGCAAATTAGAAGGTGGCGGTTTTGTGTACTAAAATATATTGACTCAATAATTAATACCACATCTTGTTTGGGGTGCTGATTTCTCTCTATCTAAAAAGAGTGACATTCTAAAAAGAGTGACAAAAACCCCAAATAAACAATATATGCAATAAAGATAAAATTACTGAACTTATTAAAACATACTAAATTTACCTAGCCAAGTGTTTTTATTACAAAACAACAACCAAAAACATTTTAAATAAAATCTCTTAAACTATTTTAAATATGCCCTAGATTGGATAAGAGCTTAGGAGAAAGGAATTAGAGCAAGTGTCCTGTGATTCATCTGTCTCCTTATTACTAGTTGGTGCTTTCACAGAGAAACAAAAAAAAAGAGTCAATTCAATCTAATTGCCTTGTAAGCTTATTGATAACTAACTTCCTGTTAAACAGACTAATATTTGTGAGGAGGAGATTTCTCATATACAAAATGTTTTGAGAAGGATGGCCATAGTTTAGAATTACTATGACAAACAAACCTATAATCTATGGATTTATGAGGTATTGGCCAGGCACGGTGGCTTACGCCTGTAATCCCAGCACTTTAGGAGGTCAAGATGGGTGGATCATCTGGGGTCATGAGTTCCAGACCAGCCTGACCAACATGGAAAAACCCCGTCTCTACTAAATGTACAATTAGTCGGGCATGGTGGCGCATGCCTGTAATCCCAGCTACTCAGGAGGCTGAGGCAGAAGAATCACTTGAACCCGGGAGGTGGAGGTTGCAGTGAGCCGAGATCACGCCATTGCACTCCAGCCTGGGCAACAAGAGTGAAACTCTGTCTCAGAAAAAAAAAAAAATAAAAGAGAAAGAGAGAATGTCAATGTCATATAAGCTGTGAAAATCCTTGGGGCATAAAATAGGATGATTTAATAAATTTAAATATTTCCCTCTGGTTAAATTGACCCACAAAACTTAGTTTAGAGACTTCATGTATTTTTCTGGGACATGAAATGTATGTCCAACATGGGAAAGAAGCACCTGGGAAGACACACAACTTTCAGTGGTCAGGGGTGTTCCACATAACTCCCTGCTCTGCTGTGTCCCATGACTGCTGAGAGCCTTGAAATCATTATCAAAGATAGATAATAATTATCTTTGATAATTGTCAAAGACTGATATTTAATAAGGTCTCTGATTCATGTGAATCTAATTTAACAAGGTAATCCTTTGTGTTAGCTCAGAGCCCCATCTCCAGCCAGTACTCAAGAAAACCTAGATTAAAAGGTAATAGTCTTGTTTAAAATATTTAAACCAGTAAATTATATTAATAGCCACATGGATTAACCATGATATACCAAATAACTAATTCATATTTACCTTCAGTAAAGCAGACCTGTAGATAACTCATAAATTCTTTCACAAATCAGAACAAATGCACATATTACCTTGTGGAAATAAATGAAGACCAACCAAATGAAAACAAGAAAAGTCTATTCATTCAGAGTATGTTAGGCCATTCTTGCATGGCTATAAAGAAATAACTGAGACTGGGTAATTTATAAAGAAGAAAATAATTAATTGGCTCACAGTTTTGCAGGCTGTACAATGCATGACACCAATATCTACTTGGCTTCTAAGGAGGCCTCAGCAAGTTTTTACTCATGGCAGAAAGTAAAGTGGGAATAGGCATGTCACATGTTGAGAGCAAGAGCAAGAGAGGGAGAAGAGGAGGTATCACACACTTTTAAACTAACAGATATCATGAGAACTCACTCATGTCAAGGACAACACCAAGAGAACGGCACTAAACCATTCATGAGAAATCTGCCCCTATGATCTAATCACATCCCACCAGGCCCCACCTCCAACATAGGAGAGGATTACAATTCAACATAAGATTTAGAGGAGACAGCATCAAAACTCATTCTTTCATTTCCTGGCCCCTAAAATCTCATGTTCTTCTCATATTGCAAAATACAATCATGCCTTCTCCACAGTCCCACAAAGCCCTAATTTGTTCCAACATCAAGTCCAAAGTCCTAAGTCTCATCTGAGACTCATCTCCTTCTACCTATGAGCTTGTAAAATCAAAATAAGTTATTTATTTCTATGATACAATGGGGATACAGGCATTAGGTAGGCATTAGGTAGACAGTCCCGTCCCAAAAGGGAGAAATTAACCAAAACACAGGGACTAAAGTCCCCATGGAAGTCTGAAACCCAACAGGGCAGTCATTGTATCTTAAAGCTCCAAAATAATCTCCTTTGACTCCATGTCTTGCATTTTTTTTTTTTTTTTTGTCAGCTCCCAAGGCCTTGGGCAACCCCACTCCAGTGGTTTCCATGAGTGCCACCCACATGGCTATTTGGGTTGGAGTTGAATACCTGTGGCTTCTCCAGGCACAGGATGAAAGCTGCCAGTGGATCTACCATTCTGGGATCTGTAGGATGGTGGCCTCTTTCCCACAGTTCCACTAGGCAGTGCCCCAGTGGGGACTCTGTGGGGCATCCGACCCCACATTTCCCCTCTGTACTACCTTCTTAGAGCCTTTCTGCAGGGCTCAGCTCCTCCAGCAGGATTCTGTCTAGGCACCCATGCTTTCTCACACAGCCTCTGAAATCTAGGCAGAGTCTGCCAAGTCTCCTTCACTCTTGCACTCTATGAGACCACAGGCTTAACACCACGTGGAAGCTGCCAAGGCTTATGCTTGTCCTTCTGGAGCAGTGGCCCTAGGTGTACCTGGGGCCCTTTGAGCCGAGGCTGGAGCTGGAGTGGCCTGGATACAAGGAGCAGTGTCCTGAGGCTGTGCAGGGATTAACAGAAGCTCAAAGGAAGGCAGAGTGAGAAGGTTTATATGATAGAAAAAGAAAAGGGAAGAATTCAGGTGTACTCTGGGTGGAGGCTGTTGGTGTGAAGAAGGTATAGGTGGACTAATTTTTTAATAGGGCATCCTATGTGATTGGTTACGGTGCACATTTGGGTTTTTCTGGTGGGTCCTAAACTGATGGTGGAAACAATAATTAGGAAAACTTTCAGTTATGGATCAAACCAAAGCTTTTTGGGCTGATTATTACAAGGGTTATTGTTTAGCTTCCTGGATTACTGCTAGAATTGGTGGCTTTTTTTTGAGACGGAGTCTCGCCTGTCGCCCAGGCTGGAATGCAGTGGCGCAATCTCGGCTCACTGCAAGCTCCACCTCCCAGGTTCACACCATTCTCCTGCCTCAGCCTCCCGAGTAGCTGGGACTACAGGCGCCAGCCACCACGCCCGGCTAATTTATTGTGTTTTTAGTAGAGACGGGGTTTCTCCGTGTTAGCCAGGATGGTCTCGATTTCCTGACCTCGTGATCTGCCCGCCTCGGCCTCCCAGAGTGCTGGGATTACAGGCGTCAGCCACTGCGCCCGGCCAGAATTGGTGGTCTTTTAACAAGATTGACTTAGAGACAATAAGCTAGCTTCCTGGGCTGGCTACTTTATGTAACGGGTTAGTTTCCTGGGCTGACGCTACAGATTATGGGCCAGCTTTCTATTTTTATATATAATATGGCCATTGTCCACTTCTATATCTAGTCTCAAAAATTTCACATAAAATACCCTGTTATTCATCTATAATTACAAATTCACAAGACAATTTGTTAACTCAAGTGTTTCATTGCCTAAGTAGATATGAAGTGATTGACTAGTTCAATATTAAATATAAAATTATTCGTTTTTCAATTTTAGATTCCTAAAAATTTGAACAAATGTCATAGCTTTTGCTAACACTAATAATTTTAAATATATTTTAGTTTTTCTTTTCATATATAAGAAATTTATCTGAAGTCTTTTTCTATCTTCTGAAATTTATCTGAGCCTTAAGTAGTTACTGAGAGTCTTCACAATTCATAGAACACTCCAGATGCAAGGTTATTTAACAAAGCATAGCATGATGTAAACTTGTTTGTTAGAGTTATATAGTCATATTCATAGGTTTGGATTGTTTTCAAAAATTATATGTATTCCTGAATTCACAACCTATTTCTTTCTTAATGATTATTGTCCATGTGGGTAGTAGAGATGTCTTAGAGTAAGGTAGCCTATCATTTTAGTATAATTCTGTTTATATTTTTGTTGCTTTGAATATTCTTTTGTGCCAATTACAGTGCACATCCTTTGACAAGGTTTCTCTATGATTATTGTTTGACATAATGTATTCAATTTGATGCCCCAGTTAATGGTGAGTACAGGATATTGCATAGAGGCAGTGATAAATTTTTAAATAAATTTTGCATATCCAGAGATTAAAATAGTATGTTGCTTTGTAGATGAACAATTCTATTTGATTCAACGGTGAAGATGTATTGTTAATAATTTTATAATGATCTACATATTTTATGAAACTGTTTAAGAAGAGATTAAATTCTAGGGTTACAAAATTTAAAAAACATATGTATATATACACACACACAACACATATTTTATGATGCTTATTAAAGATCATCATAGTTATAGGTGTAACTTCTGCCCTTTGTTGTTTGATAAAAATTAAAAATTGATGATATGCATTTATAAAGGAGGGCAATAGCAATTTGTCTAATCAAAATTATTTGGAGGGTTTTGAAATGCTTAGATATAAGGTTTTTGCTTTGGTTTTATGTTTTACTCTGTGCAACTTCAGTCTTGAGTCTGCATCTGTGCACTAAACAAAATAAGAAGGGCATCATAAAATGAGAAATTTTCATGCTAAAAATCAGTAGCTGTCAATTATGACACATAACAGAAGATCAAAATAAAACATCTCAAGTAGCTCTCTTACCTTTGTAAATATGCTTCTAATTAAACTTATGAGATTAAATTCTAGGATGACAAACTTTAAAAAATATATATTTATATGTATATATGTATGTATATATACATAACACACATATTTTATGATGCTTATTAAACATCATCATAGTTATAGGTGTAACTTCTGCCCTTTATTGTTTGATAAAAAATAAAAATTGATGGTATGCATTTTATAAAGGAGGGCAGTAGCAATTTATCTAATCAAAATTTTAATTAACTTCTTTGGAGGGTTTTGAAAGTTTTTTTGTTTTGGTTTTGTGTTTTAGTCTTTGTGACTTCAGTCTTGAGTCTGCATCTGTGCACTAAACAAAATAAGAAGGGCATCATAAAATGATGAGAAATTTTATTGCTAAAAATCAGTAGCTGTCAATTATGACACATAACAGAAGGTCAAAATAAAACATTTTGAGTAGCTCTCTTACCTTTGTAAATATGCTTCTAATTAAACTTAAATTTATCTCTATAATTTTTTTAATATCCACAATTTTATGCTCAAATTTAAATTTAAACATAGGCGCCGTATCTACATGTATTTACCCTATTCTCCACTTACGTTTGAATAGCAAGGAAGCAAATTGTACTAGCTTTCTCCTGATATGTCGCCAAACTAGATCTTTCCTGATTTAAACATATAAGATCTCACTGTGATAAAAAATTTTTCTGCTTATGTACCAGTACTGAATCACAGATCTTTTTCAACATCCAAGCTTTCCTTATGTGAATTGGAGTATGGCATAAAATGATCAAATAAGAATTTCAAAGGTTAATTGAGAAGATATGCAGGCTTGACTGTCTTCACTATTTATAGGCACAAGTAGACTAGCACTATTTCTGTTTAAAGACTAGTCTACAAATTTTTAAATTAAGAGAAAATACTTGAACATCACAGTACAAGGGATTCCCAAAACATGTTCTGAAATTGTGATAAATGTGCATGGTATCTAATTGCTTTGGGTGAAATATCAATTACTTTTAATAACTGGCAGGGATTTAATATATTGATATGACATCATTTTTCCCCAAGTAAATATTTTTATAACATCATCATCAAAGAATTTCAGAAAATATAGTAAGCATGAAACTTCATATAATAAAATCATATGTGGATTTTTGATGTATAAATAGAGAGATGACAGTATTTTAAGAAATAAGAAAGACAAAGGAACAAAGTAAGCATCTACATGAATGAACAATTACTCTAGTCCAGAATTTAGTAATTATACACTGTAACTGGATCAATAGCAATGTTATTAAAAACAAAAAAGGAAACTATTATAGATTAAAAGAACATAATTAAGTATACCATGTAAACTTTTATTATATCCTAATTTATTAAAAATTATAAAAGGATTTTTGGAATTATTGGGGGAAGTTGAATATGAGCAGCATGTCAAGTTATATTGTTATCTCTGATAATTTACTAGACTTTGAAAATGACATCATAATTATGTAGCGGGTATCATTATTTTTAGGAGAAGCATGCTGTAGTATTCCATTGCAAAGAATTACGATGCCTGCAATTTTCTTTAAAATTATTTAGAAATCATAAAAATGTGGTATTTATATACGTGCCCTATCAGTGAATAGAGTGGAATACTAATTTGTTCTTGTAAGTAGAGGCTATATATGTGCTTACCGTGTTATGTCACATATGAAAAATGTTTGAAACAGAAAACACTAGAAAGACAAACACAGAAATGAGAAGAAATTAAGCTCTACTGAAGTGTCATCTTCTGAAGTGATGACACTTTGTGGGGGTGGGATCTTTAAATTAACTATTCTTGACCTAGGGGGAATGGATGGGGATGAAGGTGGTGAGTGTGCACTAGAAAGATCTGAATTCTGTTTCCAACCATTCATCCATCTCAAATGAGTCTTGACTTTCAACTTCTACGATCTGCCATGTGCAACACAAATTTGGAGAGAAAAATAATGATTTGTGAAATGTCCAGCACAGAAATACAGGATAAGAATATGAGCAGGATGCAGGGTTATTTCATTCATTTGTTCAAGGCACCTAAAAAATAGGGGACTTAAAGTAGTCAAATATAATTTCAGAGGATGAAACTAGCCCAAAATTATTCAAAGTAGCCCAAGACAACTTTCAGGAAGAGACAAGCATTCTGCTCAAATTGAGAAAATATGTTTATTTTATCCATTTACCCCGTATATTTGTTTCACAGCTCCCTGTTCGGATCTAAGAGAAGCACTATTATGTCTAATATATATTTTATATATATATATATATATATATATATATATATATATATATATATATATTATATTATATATATTATATATATTTAGTTTGTAGTTTTACTCATTTAAATTAAGAACTTCAGAAGTTTTTTGGATGAACTAAATTATGACTGTTAGGGAAACATCAAATGTTAAAACTTCAAAATGTATTCATTCTAAAATAACCCAAAATGCCAGTTAGTTAGACAAAAAGATTTCCAGGTCAGAGATTCTCTGCTTATAACAAAGACTTTGTTGATATTAAAACACAATTTTGACAAGGAAACTTGTGCCAATTGAATCTTTTCCATGATTCTGTCTTTCTCTAATCTACAAACTTAACCCTTAAAATGGTAAGAAAATTTCTTCTTTGGAAGAAATCAAATATCCTTGATTTTTATTCAGTTCTCTCAACATGTCCTGTGTCACTGACTTTCCTGGCAGTATAGACCAGAATTGCCCAGGATAATCCACGAATTATAGTTGTGGTCTGGCAGAAATTACTGAACCTTTCTGGGGATTCATTTTTTCCTTATCAACAACAACAACAAAAATTGAAACACCACAACCACCAACATTTATCGAGCTATTATTTTGTATCAGGCAACATTCTAAGAAAATTACTCATAATAACTCATGTAATATTCCCTGCTTCCCTATTTACTACTACTTTTCAGTTTTCAGATGAGAAAATTGAAATACAAACTGTTTGAGTCTAAGGTCACACATCTAAGAAGTATTGGAGCTAGAATCCAACAATTTCATCTGGCTTCAAAGTTTACACCCTCAACGCTTAGGGTATACTGCCTCTATTATAAGCACTGTGGCTCTGTTAATGGTGGCCAAACAATTTTTAACAGATGAGTGCTACGAAATTTTACCTGTTACCTATTTTTAAGGCAAATAACATTAGAGATACACTGACTGAATCAAAACTGTTAAGTTTTTTTTCCCCTTTCTTCCTATCCTTGCGCTGGGACTGAAAACACCACAGAGAAACTGAGACTTTCTTGAACTTAGTATGGCAATTATTTTAAAATATTTTCCAAACAAATTTAAGTTCACACTTCTCAGGCAACTAATAGATTGCATAAAGATGATTGTTTACATTTTAAATTTTCCAGATGGGTGTTCTATTTATAGGAATTTCCTTTAGAAATTTCTTTGTTAATATTGAAATCACACTTTCTTTTTAATGATTTTCAGTGATTTTCTACCATACTCTCTTACTTTTCTGGTAACATATCTTAAGATTAAAAAGTGGATTAATTTTTAAATACTAAAATGAGAAAACCTGAATTCCTCTATAATCAAACTTGGAGATCATTTTAGAAGAAATGGGAAAGATCATTATTCATAGAAATACATCGTTTATAATTAAAAGATTCTTTGCTACCTTATGATTCAGTATTTTAGTTATATTTTTATGCCTTGATCTCTCCTTCCCTGATTCATGAATGTTTCTAAACACTCAAGACAATTTATCATAAGGAAATGTTAAAAGGTAAAGAGATAAAACAGAGTCTCTACCACTAAAATATAGTGTTTTTTCATTTTTATTTTAGATTCAGGAGTATATCTGCAGGTTCGTTGTATAGGTAAATTGCATGTCACAGGGGTTTGGTGTGCAGATTTTGTCACCCAGGCAATAAGCATAGTAATCAATAGGTAGTTTTTCTATCCTCACCGTACTCCCACTCTCCACCCTCAAGTAGGCCCAAGCATCTGTTGTTCCCTTCTTGGGTCCATAGGTACTAAATATTCAGATCCTACTGATAAGTGAGAATGTGCTGTATTTTGTTTTCTCTTCCTGTGTTAGTTTGCTTAGAATAAGCGCTTCCAGCTCCATCCATTTTGCTGCAAAGGACATGATATTATTCTTTTTTACAGCTGCTTAGTATTCTATGGTGTATATGTAGGACCATTTTTCTTTCTTTTGTTTTTTCTTTGACACGGAGTCTTGCTCTGTCACCCAGGCTGGAGTGCAATGGCTCAACTTGGCTCACTGCAACCTCTGCCTCCTGGGTTCAAGCGATTCTCCTACCTCAGCCTCCTGAGTAGCTAGGATGACAGGCACACACCACCATGCCTGGCTAATTTTTGTATTTTTGGTAGAGACAGGGTTTCACCATGTTGGCCAGGCTGGTCTCAAATTCCTGACCTCGTGATCTGCATGCCTCGGCCTCCCAAAGTGCTGGGATTACAGGCATGAGCCTTATTTTTTGACTTTTTATTAACAGCCTTTCTGACTGACATGAGATGGCATCTCATTGTGGTTTTGATTTGCATTTCTCTATTGATCAGAGATCTTGGCCTTTTTTTTTTATATGCTTCTTGGCTGCATGTATGTCTTCTTTTGAAAAGTTTCTCTCTATGTCCTTTACCCACTTTTTAATGGGGTTCTTTCGGTTTTTTCTTGTAAATTTGTTTACATTCCTTACAGATTCTGAATATTAGACCTTTGATGGATGCATAATTTGCTGTTATTTTCTCCCATCGTGTAGATTTTCTGCTTACTCTGTTGATAGTTTCCTTTGCTGTGCAGAAGCTCTTTAGTTTAATTAGACCTCATTTGTCCATTTTTGTTTGGTTGCAATTGCTTTTGGCTGCAATTGCTTTTGGCATCTTCGTTATGAAATCTTTGCCAGTTCCTATGTCCAGAATAGTATTGCCCAGGTTGTCTTCCAGAGTTTTTATAGTTTTGGGGTTTTTTGATTCTTTATTCCCTCTTCAGTTGATCTTAGTAAATAGTGTAAGTAAGAAGTCCAGTTTTAATTTTCTGCATATGGCTAGGCAGTTATCACAACACCATTTATTGAATAGGCAGTCTTTTCCCCATTGCTTGTTTTTGTCGGCTTTGTCAAAGATCAGGTGGTTTTAAGTGTATGGCCTTATTTCTGGGCTTTTTTTCTGTCCCTTTGGTCTATGTTTCTGTTTTTGTACCAGTATTATGCTGTTTTGGTTACTGTAGCCCTGTAATATAGTTTGAAGTCAGATAGTGTGATGCCTCTGGCTTTGCTCATTTTACTTAGGATTACCTTGGCTATTTGGGCTCATTCAATATGAATCTTAAAATAGAGTTTTCTAGTTCTGTGAAGAATGTCATTAGTTTGATAGCAATAGCATTGCATTGGTAAATTGCTTTTTACAGTATGATCATTTCAGTGATATTGAATCTTCCTATGCATTATCATGGAATGGTTTTTCCATTTGTTTGCGTCTTCTCTGATTTCTTTGAGGATTCACATTTCTCATTAAAGAGAACTTTCCCCTCTCTGGTTACCTGTATTCCTAGGTATTTTATTTTTTGTGTGGCTAGTGTGAATGCAATTGCTTTCCTGATTTTGTTCTCAGCTTGGCTGTTGTTGCTGTACAGAAATGTTACTGAATTTTGTACACTGATCTTGTGTCCTGAAATTTTGCTGAAGTTGTTTATCAGCTGAAGGAGCTTTTGAGGTTTCCTAGATATAGAATCATGTTATCTGCCAACAGAGATAGTTTGACTTCCTCTCTTCTTATTTGGATGTCCTTTATTTCTTTCTCTTGCTTACTTGCTCTGACAAGGACATCCAATACTATGTTGAACCGGCATGGTGAGAGCAGGCATTTTTGTCATTTTTTTTAGTTTTCCAAGGGAATGCTTCCAGATTTTGACCTTTCAGTTGGCTGTGGATTTGTCATAGATGGCTCTTACTATTTTGAGGTATGTTCCTTCAATACCTAGTTTGTTGAAAGTTTTTAACATGAAGCATGTTGAATTTATTAAAATCCTTTTCTGTGTGTATTGACATGGTCATGTGGTATTGGTATTTAATTATTTTTATGTGATGAATCACATTTATTGATTTGCATATGTTGAACCAACCTTATATCTCAGGGATAAAGCGTACTCTATCATGGTGGATTAGCTTTTTGATGTGCTGCTGGATTTAGTTTGTTAGTTATTTTGTTGAGGATTTTTGCATTATTTTCATCAAGTGTATTGGCCTGAAGTTACCTTTTTTTGTTGCATGTCTCTGCAAGGTTTTGATATAAGGATGATGCTGTCCTTATAGAATGAATTAGGGATGACTCTTTCCACCTTGATTGTTTGTAATAATTTCATTAGGTATGGTGTCAGCTCTTCTCCATACATCTGGCAGTGGGGGCAGAAGGTTGAGATTGTGAGAAAGCTCTAGAATAAGATGAGTAGAAAATGACAACTTGACTAATCTTCTTGGAGAGGTGGATAGTAAAAGTCTGGTCCTGGTTTTTTTTTTTTTTTTTTTGGTTGGTAGGCTATTTATTACTAATTCCATTTCAAAGATTATTATTGGTCTATCCAGGAATTCTATTTCTTTCTGGTTCAGTCTTGGGAGGGTATATGTGTCCCAGAAATATCCATTTCTTCTAGATTTTCTAATTTGTATGTATAACAGCGGTCATAGCGGTCATAGTAGACTTTGATGGTTATTTGTATTTCTGTGGGATCAGTGGTAACATTCCCTTTGTCATTTTTAATTGCGTTTATTTGGATCTTCCATCTTTTCTTCTTTGTTGAGAGCTCTCAATGTCTTCCCTCTGAAGACCTTCTAGGAATGTGCCAGTCTTCCCAATGTCCTGGTTCCACAGTAGGAGATGTTCTTCCTGGCTGTCTAGTCAGCCATCTTGGAATAGGAATTGAGTTTTGCATTTCTATTCAATTGGCCATCCTGTGCCTTTTCATTGATGTATTTAGTCCATTTACATTCAAGGTTAGCATTGATATGTGCTGATTTAATCCTGTCATCATGTTGTTACCTTGTTTTCATGCAGACTTGTTTGTGTGGTTGCTTTATAGAGTCACTGGTCTAGGTAATTACATGTGGTTTGGTAGTGGCTTGTAATGGTTTTTGTTTCCATATTTACGAGTCCCTTCAGGACTTTTTGTAAAGTAAGTCTGGTAGTATTTAATTCCTTCTACACTGCTTTTCTGTAAAGGGTCTTATTTCTACTTATGAATCTTAGTTTGGCCAGCTATAATTTTTTTGGTGGAAAATTCTTAGCTTTAAGAATGCTGAATGTACACTCCCAATCTCTTCTGGCTTGTAGTTTTTCTGCTGACAAGTCTGCTGTTAGCCTGATGGGGTTCCCTTTGTAGGTGACCTGCCCCTTCTCTCTAGCTACCTTTAACATTTTTTCTTCCATTTCAACCTTGGAGAATCTGATGACTACATGCCTTGGGGATGGTCTTCAGGTGTAGCATTTTGCAGAGAGTCAGTGCTTTTCCTGAATTTGAATGCTGACCTCTCTAGTGAGGTTGAGGAAACTTTTATGGACAATATCCTGAAATATGTTAACAACATTGCTTGGTTATCTCCCTCTCTTTCAGGAATGCCAGTCGGTCATAGATTAGGTCTCTTTACATAATCCCATATTTCTCAGATATTTTATTCTTTCTAGTTTTTCTTTATTTTTGTCTAATTATTTCAGAGAACTGGTCTTTGAGCTCTGAGATTCTTTTCTCAGCTTGCTTGATCGATTCTGTTAATACTTGCGATTGCATTATCAAATTCTTATATGTTTTTCAGCTCTATCAGATCACTTTGTTTCTGTCTTATAATAGCCATTTTGTCTATCAGCTTCTGTATCCTTTTACTGTAATCCTTAGATTCCTTGAATTAGGTTTTGACTTTCTCCTGAGTGTCAATGAACTTTATTCGTAACCATATTTTGATTCCATGTGTGTTATTTCAAACATTTTAGTCTGCTTAAGAACCATTGCTGGGGCACTAGTGTGATCATTTGGAGGTAAGAAGACACCCTGGATTTTAGAGTTTCCAGTATTCTTGCACTGGTTCTTTCTTATCTATGGGCCTGATGTTCCTGTAATCTTTGAAGTTGCTGTCTCTTTGATGTTTTTATGAAATTTATTCTCTTTGATCTCCTTGGGTGATTGCAGTATAAGGTGGCTTCAGTCGACTGACTTCATTTCTGCAAGATTTTAGGGGGCCAAGGCTCAGCTCAGGACTCCTGGGCTGTGTGCTTTTACTATCGGGAGCTGGTATCAGGCCTCCAACTTTGTTATCTGGCCCCTCAAAGTTAGGAATCTGCTGTGCTGGAAGGGCCTAGTTGTGCCTAGACCACCACTGGTCACCAAACTCCAATGGATGGTGCCAGCCAGAGCACTTCAGCAGGCAGTGGCATCAGGGTCCTAGCTGATTTGCACTTGCCAACAGCAGTGGCAGTGTTGTGGAGTACACTGTTGTCAGTTGTGTTGGAGTGCCAGCACAGGGCTGCTGGCTTCTATGCAAGTGTGCGCAGCAGTGGCAGCATGGCATGAGGTGGGTGGAAGAGGGCCTGCCATCCGTGCATGTGTTTGCACCAGTGGCAGTAGCAGCACAGGAGCAGAGCTGGCAGGCAGAGTGCTGGCTGGTGCCCTCTGTACATGTGTTTATTTAGGTAGCAGTGGCCATGCAGGGCAGGGTGGCAAGGATGCTCGTCTTTGTGGGTAGGTTCATGTCAGCAGTAGTGTCAGTGTGGGGGTGAGGCTCTGGTAGGTGCAGGGTTGATAATATCCATGGGCACCAATGCACTAGCGGCAATGGTGGTACTGGGTGGGGTGGGGCCACTAGTCTTCTTGTCATGCCTTCATGTTGGCAATGGTGGTGCAGCATTGGAGGTGGGGTACACATGCAGGCAGCAGTGGCATGATTGGGTGCATGAATACATGCTTGCTGTCAGGGAAAGCTAGGTGAGGTTCACCCATGCACACATGCACTGACAAAATAAGTAAGGAGTGGCCATGGGCAACTGTGTGCCGGCAGAGTGGCAGGGGAGAAGCTGCAGTTGGGGGAGGGCATGGGTAGGCTGGTACGTGTCGCTGGGTCTACCCTGCTGTAGCTCTCCGACATGTACCATCTGCCATTGTGGGCTATGGTGTGGCCCCTAGGGAGGCACCCCAGCTGAGTATCCAAGGTTGCACTGCAAGCAGGCATGGCAAGGCTTGGGCCTCCAGAGAGTCCAGCAGATGAGTGGTTGCTCAGGTTGGACCAGCTCCATCTCACAGACAAGACCACCCTGTTCTGTTCAGGTCTGACAATCCCCTTGAAGCTAAAGTCTCCCAGGGGACTGAGGCAAGCCTTGAGGGATGGGCATTCCTGGCTGTGCTCCACTATAGACACTCTTACACCAAACCCTCTGGGCTCCACAACAGCTGGAATTCTGTCCCTATTACCTCTCTAAGTAGCTCTCACTGCCAGCTCAAGTGTCCTGCTGCCAGGATTCCAGAGGTTCCAGTGAAGAGCAGTTCTGTGTACTCAACTCACCCATTTCTCAGGAGTGGTTCAGAGCCCAAAATGAGTCCTGGTGCACGGTAGCCCTGTGCAGGATTCCCAGCTTCCTCCCTTCAGCCCAGCATCTGTGTCTTCCCTCCATCCACTCTCAATGCCCTCCCTCCAAAGATCTGCACAAAGTACACCAGTCTCCCTGATGTCCTGGTCCCTTGGTGACAGGTGTTCCTCCTGGCTGCATCTACTCACCCATCTTGAGAGTCTGAAAATTTTTTAGATAATCTATTAACATCTTCTTTTATCTTAGTAAGGAAGACTTAAAATAGTTAAGAATATTTTTAGTGGATTATTCTGTATTATCCAATTAAAACCCAAAGCCAAATTAAATACCTAATAAATTAATCCCATTTCAAAAAAGTTTATATCTTTATAATTTATCTTGTTATTTCATGGAAAAATTTTTCCAGTATTTCTTAGAAAAGAAAAAATAGTCATGGAAATTGACTTTTATAATCCACCTCTCCATGAAGATTAGTCAAAATGTCATTTTCTACTCATCTCATTCTAAATCTATCTCCTCAGCTTCAACCTTCTGCCCCCACTGCCCATCTCTCACCACTCCTCATCACAATAGATAGTGGGCTAAGTCCTTGCTTGCTGACTATCCCAGACTTTCAATCCATAATTGTCAGCCTCAAAAAATATTGAAATGTTTTTAAAAATCTATATTGTAGGAAGGTATTTTTTTTATTTTTCCCCTGGGAATAATTAACCTAATTTGAAGATGTTTCTTTCCAAATTTTGTGAAATAATTTTAGGGAAAAAATAAGTGGAAGAATAAATGATAC
The DNA here is from genome assembly GCF_000001405.40 of Homo sapiens. Classification (NCBI taxonomy): domain Eukaryota; kingdom Metazoa; phylum Chordata; class Mammalia; order Primates; family Hominidae; genus Homo; species Homo sapiens. The sequence goes on along the minus strand of NC_000002.12, from coordinate 56,873,657 downwards.
ACATTTTTTCCAATTTATTAAAGAATATTTCTTACTGACATAATTGTAGTTTTCACTACTAAGTTCATTACTCTACCACAGAGAAAGGAGTTTTGAGTTCTGTTAATACCTGCTGAGATGTATGTCTACTTTGAATATCATACATACATCCAAAAGCATGTCTCTCAAATTTTCCTAGTTTGAGATTCATACCTTTCCCTTAACTAGCACTTCAACTAACTACTATGAAATAATAAAAAGGCAAAAAAAAAAAAGACATGGATAATTTCTTCCCTGGAGTTCTTGTGAAGGTTTAAATATCAGTTTCTGTATTCCAGGAACTGCTCTGGGGATGCCAGGACTCTTGCAAGTTTATATGATCATCCTGGACTAGTAAGTGCTTTTGTTGTGGGAAGGTGAAGGCTCACTAATATGTTATCTCTGACTATAAGCTGATTCAGAGATAGCCCAAGGAAAAGCCGTCTTTGGATAATTCCTGTTTCATACCCACATATGCAAGTATCTGCTATTTTTTCCTGCTATTTTGGGGCGTTTTACTAAATTACTACAAAACAATCTGACTGGAAGTTGGGATTCTGCCATATTTCCTGATCCTGTGTCTAATGGGATCTTAATTTTAAATTTACTTGCTTTTTGACCAATTCATCTTGGCACTGTGCTTGCTTTTATTTATTTTTAGTTACATTTCCATAAGAAAAAATATTATAATTACTCTAGAATATTTTAAATTTCAAAATAAGTTTTATTTTTTCAAAATTTACCCAGTATTATACTACAGAAACATATTTTATAATTCCAAGCTTCTGAAACTATTTATGTAATATATCAAATAGACAGTGATCAAAATGCTGTTTGAAATAAAAATTCATCATTGAAAAATAGTCTTATTAAAGTTTTCTTTTATTGTTTATTCCAATTTTCAACTAAATCTATTGAAATCCTTTAATTGACATTTGAATTCTAATTGGTCATTAGTGACATGCAGAAAAGTCTTGTCATTGTATGTTTATTTTGCATCCAGGTAACTTAATAGGCTGTCTTAGAATTCATCTTAGTTTTTCAGTTGATCTTGTAGGTTTCTAGGTAGATGATCATATAATGAGCTTGCTTATAAAGACAACTAGCTTCCTCGTCTCTTTCCTAGTGCTGTGGTTACTTTTTTTCTGATATTAATATGAAGGTCTCTAACATGTCTTGTTTAATATTATGGTTTTTACTATTCTACATAAATGAGGTTTATCATTTAAAAAGCTTATTTTACTCACAACATATATTGAATTTTATAAGTGTCATTTAAACATCTAAATAGATGATAACGTTTTACTTTATATTTTTTAATCTTAAGGCTATGTGATGCAGGTTCAATTACTTTTTTATCTTAAAACCATTTGATATGAATGCAACTGCTAATATTGCACCATTTTTATTTCTTAATATAAAGCAGAATTCAGGTAACATTCTACTTAGGATTTCTGTGTCTGCCTTTGAGAAACTGATCATACACACATAAACTTGTGTCACATCTGTTGTAAAAAACTTTCTCAGTTTTCACTATTAATACTATGCAACAGTCTTAAGAATTGAAGGTTTTTCTCTTTTTATTTTGGCAGTGTAAATAGGTTGATTATTTACAATTGAAATATTCAATGAGTGTGTATGTGTTTTGAGGGAACTTTGTCAGAAGTTCCTTGCCCATTATTTAAAACTACATATGTCTCATAATTAGTTGTGAATTACTGAATACTTTAAGAGGTAGCAATGACAGGAATGTACTGCACATATAGTTGCTATGGAGATATAAAAATAATTGAAAAACTACTGGGAAGGAACTAATCCTGTCACTGTCTGAATCTATTGCCTTTTGTTAGGGATAAAACATGATGTCTTTTTCATTATTACGTAATGATTATGACTCTGCTAGATTTTATACATCATCTTGAGTTAGACTTAAGTTCTAATAAATGTGTTTGCACTTTATATTTCTAAATGTTGTAATTATTTTCCTTATAAGTTTTATTTTTCCTTATAAGTTAAATTGTACATATAAATTTTAGTAAGTGATACATGAGATTATCCCATATATTAAGAATCACTTATCAATATTTTTTAAATAATTATTATATAGTTTTGTTTATTAAACTATTTATATCTTCCCTGTTACTTTACTCCCCAAAGAACCAGATTTTTTACTGCTTAATATTATGGGTTCAATTGTATCTAATCCCCAGTGCCTTAGTATGTGATCTTGTTCAAAAACTGGGTCTTTATAGAGGTAATCAACTTAAAATGAGGTCATTAGAATGGGCCCGAGCCAATGTAACTGGTATCCTCATAAAACGGGGAAATTTGGACACAGGTACAGACATGCACTAAGGAAACACAGTGTGAAGACACAGGGAGAACTTCATGTGGAAATGGCAGAGACTGGAGTGGTGCATCTAGAAGCTAATGAAAACCAAGGATTGCTAGCAAATTACCAGAAGCTAGAAAAGAGACATGAAACTATCACTTACCCACTCATAAGTAACCTACACAGCTCACATCTTGATTACATATTTCTGTTCTCCAGAGCTGAGACTATAAATTTATGTTGTTCAATATTCTTTCGCGTTCTTTCCCATGGCTTCCTAATCTTCTATCTCAATTTCTACCCGTAATTTCCATGTTTACGATCTACATTATGGATTTTATTTTCAGCAGTATCCATATTGCTGTATCTTCCTTGCAATCTAGTTTTAAATTGATCTATTTTGTTTTTTATGTAATATTTCTTTCATATCTACTATTCATTATATATCAACCTGAATTCTTATATTTTTGTCTTTTTTACTCACTACTTTTTTTATTTTTAAAATGAATCAAAATTTTATATGATGAATTCAGTACATAAATCTTAAGTATACAGCAAAATTAATTTTGGCATTTTTATCCATCCATGTAAACAGAAATTGTTTCATGGAGATAATTTTTGTTTATGTCATGACATGATAGCTCTAAAATTTTCTTTGTTGGTCATCAATAAATTATGTCTATGGTCTGCTTGCATAAACCCCTCTTTTGTTATTAAATTTCATCTTCTTTCTAGATCTACTGCTTTATAAATACCAAATTAATTCCTGTGATTTCAAACATCATTTACTTTAGGAAAAGTAGATTCTCCTCAGATCAAAACTAGTGTAAACTAGTGTGAACTACATATACTTTAGCTCGATTTCTCATTTTTTTGTTCTTGCCGTTTACTTAAGATTTTCTAACATCTCCACGTCTCATACTATAGGGGAATTTGAAATATAACTTATTTATAAAGTCTTCTCCAAATTAATCTAAGACCAAGGGGTCAGCAACAAATTCTAGGCCAAACTTTAAAATATATTTACTGATTTTTAAAAAAATACAAAGTGGATAAAGTTAATTTAAATGAGCATATATTAAAACATTCAATAGTAATTTTGTCATAATTTTAAGTTACAAAATTTCATCTATAGTATCATAAAATGTCACCTAGATAGATATTAATACAAAAGTAATTTATCTTTAGTACATCAAAGATATCTTTATGTTATTAAATATTAGTTTTGCTGAAGTGTATAATCCTCAGTTATAGTATTCTGTGAAGAGTTGGTGAGACTATTTTTATGGTTTTATGACAAATTTGGGGTATATTTATATGGTGTCACTCTTTATTTCTGGTTTTGTTTAAATTTCAGGTTTTGGAAAAATATAATTTTTTTCTGTGTTATTTTAGGAAGAAAGTTGTGCTAGGTTTTATAGTAAGTAGCACCAAAATTTGGTGCTGTAAGATTATACCTGGCCTATAATACTTGACCTTTTAATCCTTATTTTAAAATTTAATATAACAATTTTCTTTCCATTACACTGTTATTTAAGCCATGCTATATTTGTCAGTTTCCTAATGTGATTTTTTAAAAATAGGTGAAAGCCTTTGAAGGAAGTCAAGTTTTATGGAAAAAGCAATCTCATATAGGCAAATATGTATATGAAAATATTTTTATGTAAAATAACCGATTTTGGAAACGTAGAGCAAAGTAAAGCCAAATTAAAAGTGTATATATATATATATATATATATATATATATATATATATATATATATATATGTGCACTGTAGGGGGTCAAACACAAAACATCTGTTCACAAAATAGCTACTCTAAATGGAACTTAGACAAAGTTATTTTGGAACATTTTTTTAAAGCATGAACATTACACTATAAATAAGAAGCCTCACATATGAGACTGATATAGTTTGGATATGTGTCCCCTTCAAGTATCATGTTGAAATGTGATTCCCAAAGTTGGAGGTGAGGCCCGGTGGGAGGTGATCAGATCCTGGGGACGGATACCTCATAAATTGTTTAGCACCGTCCTCTTAGTGATAAATGAGATCTAGCTAAGTTAGTTCACCTGATATCTGGTTGTTTTAAAGAGTCTGGGATCTCCCCCTTCTGTCTCTCACTCCTGCTCTTGCCATGGTACATACTGGCTCCTTGTCACCTTCTGTCATGATTGAAAACTTCCTGAGGCCTCACCAGAAGCAGATGCTGGCACCATTTTCCTATAAAGTCTGTAACACAGATAGGCAATTAAACCTCTTTCCTTTTTCCTTTTTCTTTTTTTGGATTATACTTTAAGTTCTGGGGTACATGTGCAGAACGTAAAGGTTTGTTACATAGGTATATACGTGCCATGGTGGTTGGCTGCACCCATCAACTCGTCATCTACATTACATATTTATCCTAATGCTATCCCTCCCCTAACCCCCAACCTCCCGAAAGGCCCTGGTATGTAATATTCCCCTCTCTGTATCCATGTATTCTCATTGTTCATCTCCCACTTATGAGTGAGAACCCGCAGTGTTTGGTTTTCTGTTTTTGTGTTAGTTTGCTGAAAATGATGGCATCCAGCTTCATCCATGTTCCTACAAAGGACATGAACTCATCCATTTTTATGGTTGCATAGTACTCCATGGTGTATATGTGCCTCATTTTCTTTATTCAATCTATCATTAATGGGCATTTGGGTTGGTTCCAAGTCTTTGTTATTGTGAACAGTGCTGCAATAAACATACATGCTCATGTGTTTTTACAGTAGAATAATTTTTAATTTTTGGGTATATACCCAGTAATGAAATTGCTGGGTCAAATGGTATTTCTGGTTCTAGATCCTTGAGGAGTCACCATACTGTCTTCCGCAGTGGTGGTTGAAGTAAGTTACACTCCCACCAACAGTGTAAAAGTGTTCCTATTTCTCCATATCCTCTCCAGCATCGGTTGTTTCCTTTTTGTTTTCATTGTTTTTGGGGGGGAGAAGAAGTCCCCCAGGCTGGAGTGCAATGGCACAATCTCGACTCACTGCAATCTCTGCCTCCCGAGTTCAAGTGATTCTTCTGCCTCAGTCTCCCTAGTAGCTAGGATTACAGGCACCTGCCACCATGCCTGGCTAACTTTTGTATTTTTAGTAGAGACAGGGTTTCACCATGTTGGCGAGGCTGGTCTCGAACTCCTGACCTCAGGTGATCCGCCTGCCTCAACCTCCCAAAGTGCTAGGATTACAGGCGTGAGCCACCATTCCCGGCCGTTTCCTGACATTTTAATGTTCTCCATTCTAATGGGCGTGGGATGGTATCTCACTGTGGTTTTTATTTACATTTCTCTAAAGACCAGTGATGACAAGTTTTTTTCATGTTTGTTGGCTGCATAAATGTCTTCCTTTGAGAGGTGTCTGTTCATATCCTTTGCCCACTTTTTGATGGGGTTGTTTTTTTCTTGTAAATTTGTTTCTTTGTAGATTCTGGATATTAGCCCTTTGTCAGATGGATAGATTGCAAAAGTTACTCCCATTCTGTAGGTTGCTGTTCACTCTGATGATAGTTTATTTAGCTGTGCAGAAGATTTTTTGTTTAATTAGATGCCATTTGTCAATCTTGGCTTTTGTTGCCATTGCTTTCGGTGTTTTAATCATGAAGTTTTTGCGCATGCCTGTGTCCTAAATGGTATTGCCTAGGTTTTCTTCTAGGATTTTTATGGTTTTAGGTCTTACGTGTAAGTTTTTAATCCATCTTGAGTTAATTTTTGTATAAAGTGTTAGGAAGGAGTAAAATTTCAGTTTTCTGCTTATGGCTAGCCAGTCTTCCCAACACCATTTATTAAATAGAGATTCCTTTCCTCATTGCTTGTTTTTGTCAGGTTTGTCAAAGATCAGATGGTTGCAGATGTGTGGTGTTATTTCTGATGCCTCTGCTCTGTTCCATTAGTCTATATATCTGTTTTGGTACCAGTAATGTGCTGTTTTGTTTACTGTACCCTTGTAGTATAATTTGAAGTTAGGTAGCATGATGCCTCCAGCTTTGCTCTTTTTGATTAATATTGTCTTAGCTATGGGCTGTTTTTTGCTTCCATATGAAATTAAAAGTAGTTTTTTCTAACTGTGTGAAGGAAGTCAGTGGTATCTTGATGGGGATAGCATTGAATCTATACATTACTTTGGGTAGTATGCCCATTTTTGCGATATTGATTCTTCCTATCCATGAGGATGGAATGTTTTTCCATTTGTTTGTGTCCTCTTATTTCCTTGAGCAGTGGTTTGTAGTTCTCCTTGAGGAGGTTATTCACATCCCTTATAAGTTGTATTCCTAGGTATTTTATTGTCTTTGTAGCAATTGTGAATGAGAGTTCAGTCATGATTTGGCTACATATGTCTATTACTGGTATATAGGAATGCTTGTGATTTTTGCACATTGATTTCATATCCTGAGACTTTGCTGAAGTTGCTTATCAGCTTAAGGAGATTGTGGGCTGAGACAATGGAATTTTCTAAATATACAATCATGTCATCTGCAAAAAGAGACAATTTGACTTCCTCTCTCCCGATCTGAATACCCTTTATTTCTTTCTCTTGCCTGATTGCCCTGGCCAGAATTTCCAATACTATGTTGAATAGGAGTGGTGAGAGACGGCATCCTTGTCTTGCACCAGTTTTAAAAGGAAATGCTTCCAGTTTTTGTTCATTCAGTAGGATATTGCCTATGGGTTTGTCATAAATAGCTCTTACTATTTTGAGATACATTCTATATATACCTAGTTTACTGAGAGTTTTTAACATGAAGGGGTGTTGAATTCTGTTAAAGGCCTTTTCTGCATCTACTGAGATAATCATGTTGTTTTTGTCATTGGTTCTGCTTATGTAACAGATTAAGTTCATTGATTTGCATACATTGGACAAGCCTTGCATCCCAGGGATAAAGCCGACTTGATCATGGCGGACCTCTTTTCTTTATAAATTAGCCACCCTCAGGTATTTATAGTGATGCAAGAATGGACCAATAAAGAGTCATAACTCTCATTTTCCCAGGTCCATAAACTCATCAAGTCATTTTCCTTTTTGTAGTCTCTATTTTCTCACATACAGCTATGATCACTACACGTAACATGGAAGTATTGAGGGAGGGTCATATACGAATACACAGAAAAGTAAATTATGGGTTTCTAGTGTATACAAGTATTTATTATTGTTGATAATATACTAATCTGTTGACTGCCGTAAAAAAATGCCAACTTTCTTTTTCGTTAAGCAGAGAAATGCTTGCTATTAGAATGCCTATGAACAATACAGGAAGAGGCAATTAATTGGACAAAACATAATGAATTTAGCAGATGGAGGCAGAGTGGGAAGCTATTTGACATCATTTGGTACTATGAATGCCAAAAGAGCAATAATTATTTATGTTAATAGTTTAATGGCAAAAAATACAAAATAAATGAATAAAAAGTTTTTTCTTATATAAGTATAGAAATAGCTAAATAAAAATGAAAAAAATTGATTTTCCTGGTTAATCGCATCAAGTTTTTACCTCCTTCTGATTATACAGATAGAGCATTTATTTTATTATGCAGAATGGATTTTAAAGGGGTTTAAAAAAGAAACTACCGTTCAAGGTTTTATGACTTGGGAAATGCATGATATCACTAAGGCAACAAAGGTTACACAAATAGTATAAAATGTCATTTTTTATGAAGTCTGCAGGCTTCATTAAAAATAACTAAATATCACCTCTTTTATGAAATATTTAAATTTACATTATAAATATATTTTTAGAAATTCTTCATAAGGTTATCTCCAATTTATGCTGTTCTCCAAATGTATATTTTTATTTATTTATATATATTATCAATTATACTAAAAGAATGATCTTTTCCAGGAATGTGATTTATGGGCATGTTCAATTATGCTTTACATTTTCACCTTAAACTAATCTATAAAGAGACAGGTTTCAGTCACTGAGCATTGAAAGTTCTTCATTGATCCTCAGGGTAAACCTTTCATTGTTTCACATGGCATGCATGGTCGTTGTGCAAGCCTTTGTCAAAAACAAACAAAAAAATCAACAGCCTGCACACTGGGCAAGATGGAATAAGAGACATCAGATTTACTCTCCCTCTTGAAACAAAAATAGATAAAACAGCTTTTAAGATGTTAGAGATCAGGCAATAAAAAATGATAAAATCCTTGAGAGACAAGGAACACATGAGGTGAGCCCTATAACTGACTCAGAGTACTTGTAGGAGCAGGAAGCAGGAACCTAGCAGAGTCTGTTGGTCTTCCTGAGTTGAGGAGATGGAACTGAGCATCTGGAGCCACACTAGCCAAAGTACCCAGGGAAAGATATCTCAGAGGATACAGTTGCACAGAGAAAAAGTTATGATCTGCAGAGAGTCTTTTAAAAAATTTCCTCAAGAGTGCTGATACATGCATATACAAAAGTTGGGGAAGAGAAATACCTAAAAGGTTATGAGGAGAATCTTTAGAACTCACACAGGGCCAGGAATAGCTATTCCCACCAACCAAAATGGAAAACTTCATAATTCATAGGCATTGGATAGAGTACTCAGCAATATTTTGACTCTGTAAGTAGGCTAGATTTTTATTAAAGTTGCCATTGTCTTGTTTAACAAAGCCTTTAAGCAAGACCTCAGTGTATCAAACTGTTCCAAAGCGACTTAACTACATTGCTGTACAAAGCTTAAGAATATGTATAGGAATACAAAAATATGCAGCACACAAAATGATCAATTTCATAATGACTGGCATCTAACAAAAATTTACTAAGAACACAAAATTAAGAAATGTTAATATAAACAGGAGGAAAAAGTCAATCAATTGGAATTGATCTAAATGATATACAGATGAAGAAATTTGTAATCAAGAACAATAAGACATTTTTTAATAACTGTATTCCTCGTGTTTAAAAAGCTATAAAAATATCAAGTATATAAATAGAGACATAGATGATTTTCTTTAATGTGCATATTCAACTTTTGTAGGGAAACTAAAGTTTGAGTTTAAAAATACACTAAAAGACAGTAATTGCAAATTAGACATTGCAGATAAGTGAACTTAAAGATTTGCAGCGCAGTCTACCCAAAGTGGAATACAGAGAGAAGAGAGAAAAACGCTCACAGAGCATCGTTCGGCTGTAAAACAACTTCAAGCAGTTGAAACCACAGTTTCAAGATGTTCAGTAAGACTATAGTGAAAGAAAGATGAAGAAAACTACACCAAAGCAATCAAGTTACCTAAGAACAGTGATAAAGAGAAAATCTAAAAGCAGACACCTTATGTATAGAGGAAATAAGATTAAAATGAAAGCAGATTTATCATGAGACACAGGCAAGGGAGAAGACAGTCAAACATTTTTAAAGTAATGACCAAGCACACACAGACACACACACACATGCATACAAACAAAAAATTGATTAACCTAGGATTCTATACAACATGCAACTATATCTTTCAAAAATGAGGTTGGAGTAAAAATTTTTTGATATGAAAAAGCTAAACAATTTGTCATCAGCAAATCTAAACTACAGAAGATATTAAAGCAAGTTCTTTAGACAGAGGATAATAGAATATGTAAGTTTTTATCTATATAGCAGAATACAGAGCACCAGAAATATGTAACTATGAGGGTAAATATGAAATGCTTTTTGATTAATGCTTAAATACCTTTAAATTGAATAAAACTGAAATAAAATAAGAATTGTGGGCATAGTTTGAAGAGAAATAAAGTACATAGTTGTAATATAGGTGAAGTACTATAACATCACTAGAAACTAGACTCATAAAATTATCATTAAGAAATTAGATCCCAATATAGGTCTTTAATAAATCAGCAAAAAAGACAAAACAAAATCATAACAAATATCCAGTCAATCTTAAGGAAGACAGAAAGGAGAAAAAAGGATCAAAGAGTAGATGGCAAAGTTAGAAAGCAAAGACTAAGGTGGTATATTTAAAACAATTACGGTAATGTGCCATTTAATAACAGTGATAAGTTCTGAGAAAAGTGCCATTAGGTAATTTTATCATTGTGTGAAGATCAGAGATTATACTTACATAAATGTACAAGTTATAGCCTACTACACACATAGGCTATGTGGTACAGTCTATTGTTCCTAAGCTACAGACCTGCACAAAAGTTACTGTCCTGAATACTCTTGGTAATCATAACACAATGGTAAGTAAGTGTATGTCTAAACATGGAAAAGGTACAGTAAAAATATGGTTGAAGATAAAAAATGGTGCATCTTTGTGGGGAACTTACCACGAATGAAGCTCGTGGGACTGGAAGTTGCTCTGGGTAAGTCAGTGAATGGTGAATAAACATAAAGGCCTAGGACATTAATATACACTACCGTAGACTTTACAAATACTGTACACTTAGTTTATACTGTTTATAAAAAATATTTTTTGGAGAAGGGAGCCAAGATGGCTGACTAGCTGCAGCCAGGATGAGCTTTTCACCAAGACACCAGACCATCAAGAAGACTGACACACTCCAAGAAGCTCTTCAAAAGAAAACCACTGAAAGTGAACAGAAGGAGGAAGCAGACCCTGGGCTGAAAGAGAAGGAAGCTGGGAACCCTGCACAGGGATGCTGAGCACCAGACTCCTTCTTGTGCCTAAGTAACTCCTGGGGAAAGAATGAGCTAAATAGGCATAGAGCACCCCACTGTTACCATGGATCTCTGGAATCCTTGCTGCAAGAGTCCCCACCACCCACACAGACATTTGAGCTGGCAGGGATTGCTGCTTGGAGAGTTGATAGGGACAGGACAGTGGTCTGCACAGAGCCTAGAGGGTTTGATGTGAGAATGGCTGTGGTGGAGCATGGCCAGGGATGCCCATTCCCCAAAGCATGCTATGCTTCTATAGGTGGCTTTGAGCTTTGTTGACTGTTGAACCTAGACAGAACAGGGCTATCTTACCTGTGGGATGGGGACAGACTGATCTGAGTGCTTCCCTTGCCTGACAGTCTCTCCCAGCGCCCCTGCCTGGTCACACTCACTTGTGGCGTAGCCTCAGATGCTCAATCAGGCCACTTTCCAGTGACCACTGCCATAGTTCTTTCAACAGTAGACCTCACACTAACCATCAGAGAACTTTTCCAGACATGCCCCACCAACGTATACTTGTCCACAGTCTCCTTCCATTGCTTTTTTGGCATGCAAGAAGACCTCACCACACAGCTGCTCTGCCCCCACCAGTGCATATGCATGCATGGTTGCTGCCATCATGTCATTACCAAAGCATGCACACAAATTAAGACCCCACTGTCACCACCCTAGTGAAGCACTTTTGCCGGCACCTTCCATCAGAGTGTTGTTGCCAATGGACCAGTAACACCTCAGACCCTCTGGCACAGCAGCTACTTAACCTCAAGGGGCTAAATAACTGCAGGGAGCCAAAGGCCTGTGGGACTTGACCAACTCAGCATTCTACTGAGGCTATATGATCGAACAGCAAACTGTTTATCATGAATACAGAATGTGGGCAAATTCACTTCTCTGCCTGCCCCAGAAGATTTGCTGAGGAAAATCGCTTGCTGGTGCTGAGCTCCTTGAGGTTGTCTACTGGGACATCTAGAGAATGCAGTCTTGCAAGCCTACTCTGGACTGAGCAGCTGACCCCTTCTTCCACCCCCTTTCTCACTATCTCTTTTGCCTAATAAATATGGAGGGCTGTGTAAAACTCAGGGCCCTTTTCCACTAGAGGCAAGGTGCCCCCTGACCCCTTCTTCCAAATATACTCTTTTATCTCTTGTCTTGTATTCCCATGTTCGCCCCCTTTGTTCAGTCCACCAGTGATCGTGGCAGGTTACATAGTGGCACCCCGAACAGCGACAGAATCAGGTGCTCAACAGAGAACAATGTCATGGGCCTATTCCTAGGCCCCAGGAGTACAGCAGGCAGCCGAGGAGTTCTGAGCTGAGTCCTGGTCCCCTGAGATCATTCAGAAATAAAGCCAGATGACTAAACATATCTTATACCAAAGTCAATCCAAGACATCAAAGAATATAAAATCACAAATCCCTATTTAAAAGACAGCAACTTCAAAGATTAAAAGAACATCAGCTCACACAGATAAGAAAAAAACAGTGTTAAGAACTTGGGCAACTCTAAAACCCAGAGTGTCTTCTTACCTGCAAATGGCCATGCTAGCTCCCCAGCCATGGCTCTTAAGCAGACTTAAATGGCTGAAATGACAGACATAGAATTCAGAATCTGGACAGGAAAGAAGACCACTGAGATTCAGGAGAATGTCAAAATCCAATCCAAGGAATTTAAGGAATCCAGTAAAACAATATAAAAGCTGAAAGGCAAAACACCCTTTTAAAGAAAGAACTAAACTAATCTGATAGAGCTGAAAAGCTCACTGTAAGAATTTCATAATTCTTATGATGAAATTGAAAGTTTTAACAGAAGAATAGACCAAGCCGAGGAAAGACTCTCAAAGCTCAAATATCAGTTTTTTGAATCAACTCATTGAGACAAAAATAAATAACAAAGAATTTTAAAGAGTGAACAAAACTTCTGAGAAATATGAGATTATGTAGAGACCAAACTAACCATCAGAGAGCTTTTCTAGACATGCCCCACCAATGTACACTTGCCCACAGTCTCCTTCCATTGCTTTTTTGGCATGCAAGCAGACCTCACCACACAGCTGCTCTGCCCCCACCAGTGCATATGCATGCATGGTTGCTGCCATCTTGTCATTACCAGAGCATGCACACAAATTAAGACCCCACTGTCACCACCCTAGTGAAGCACTTTTGCCAGCACCTTCCATCAGAATGTTGTTGCCAATGGACCAGTAACACCTCAGTCCCTCTGGCACAGCAGGTACTTAACCTCAAGGGGCTAGAGAACTGCAGGGAGCCAAAGGCCTGTGGGACTTGACCACCTCAGCATTCTACTGAGGCTATATGATCAAACAGCAAACTGTTTATCGACTCATTGGTATCCCTGAAAGACAGGGAGAGAGAACAAGCAACTTGCAACACATATTCAGGATATTGTCCACAAAAATTTCCCCAACCTTGCTAGAGAGGTTGACATTTGAATTCAGGAAACTCAGAGAACCCCTGCAATTTACTATATAAGGTGACCATCCCCAATACACATAATTATCAGATTCAACAAAATCAATGTAAAAGAAAAAAAATATTAAAGGCAGCTACAGAGAAGGGGCAGGCCACCTACAAAGGAAGGCTAACAGCAGACACATCAACAGAAATCATCAGGCTAACAGCAGACCAGCTAACAGAAACCCTACAAGCCAGAAGAGATTGGGTCTGTATTCAGCATCCTTAAACAAAAGAAATTCTAACAAAGAATTTCATATACAGCTAAGCTAAGCATCATAAAGAAGGAGAAATAAATTCCTTTTCAGACACAAGCAAATGCTAAGGAAATATATTACCAGAAAAACTGCCTTACAAGAGGTTCTTAAGGAAACATGGAAGTGAAGACTGGTACCTGTCATCACAAAAACACACTTAAGTACATAGCCCACTGACACTATAAAGCCACTACACAATCCGGCCTGCATAACAATAACAACAAAATAACAGGATCAAATCTGTACATATCAATATAACCTTGAATATAAATGAGCTAAACACCCTACTTAAAAGGCACAAAATGGCAGGTTGGATAAAGAAGCAGGACTAAAGTATATGCAATCTTCAAGAGACCCATTTCACATGGAGTGACACATTTAGGCTCAAAGTAAAGGGATACAGATAAATTTACCAAGCAAATGAAAAACAAAACAGGGCACGTGTTGCTAATTCTCAGTGCAGACAAAACAGATTATAAACCAAAAACAGGCGAGGCACCATGGCTCATGCCTATAATCCCAGCACTTTGGGAGGCTGAGGCAGGCAGATCAGTTATCTCAGGAGTTCAAGACCAGCCTGGGCAACATGGTGAAACCCAGTCTCTACATAAAATAGCCAAGTTTGGTGGTGTGTACCTGTAGTCCCAGCTACTTGGGAGGCTAAGTGAAAGGATGGCTTGAGCCCAGGAGGCGGAGTTTGCAATGAGCTGAGATTGCACTTCTGCACGCCAGCCTGGGTGACAGAGCCAGATCCTTTCAAAACAAAAACAACAACAGCAAACAAACAAACAAAAACAGTCAAAGAGACAAAGAAAAACAATACATAATGATAAAGGGTTGAATTAAATAAGAAGCCTTAACTATCCTAAATATAAATGCACCCCACACTGGAGCACCTAGATTCACGAAACAAGTTCTGAGAACCTACCAAGAGACTTTGATAATCACACAATAATAGTGGAAACCCAATTGACAGTATTAGACAGATCGCTGAAGCAGAACACTAACAAAGACCTAAACATTCAAGACCTAAACTCAACACTTGACCAAATGGACCAAACAGACATCTAGGGGATATTCTACCCAATGACAAAAAAATGTACATTTTTAATGTCTCCACATGGCACATATTCTAAAATCGACCACGTGCTCAGCCATAAAGAAATTCTCAACAAATTTTTAAAAACCAATATCAGCGGGGTGTTGTAGCTCATCCCTGTAATCCCTGCACATTAGGAAGCCAAGGCAGGAGGGGTGCTTGAGGCCAGGAGTTGAAGTCCAGACTGGATAACAGTGTGAGATCCTGTCTTTACAAATATTTAAAAAATGAGCACTGTATGCAGCATGTGCCTGTACTCCCACATACTAAGGAAGCTGAGATGGAAGGATTACTAGAGACTAGGAGTTTGAGTCTGCTGTGTACCATGATCATGCCGCTGCACACCAGTCTGGGCTACAGAGGCAAATTCTGTCTTTAAAAAATAAATAAATACATAAATAAATAAATAAATAAACAAACAAACAAACAGAAGAATCATGCCATCCACACTCTCAACAGCACAATAAAAATAGAAATCAATACCGAAAACATCTCTCAAAACCATACAAGTAGATGAAAATTAAACAGACTGCTCCTAAACAGCTTTTAAGTAAACAATGAAATTAAGGCAGAAATCAAGAAATTCTTTGAAATTTACTGAAAACAAAAATACAACATGTCAGAATTTCTGGGACACAGTAAAATCAGTGTGAAGTGGAAAGTTTATAGCACTAAACATTCACATCAAAAAGTTACAAAGAGTCCTAAATTATCAACTTAATCACACCTAGATGAACTGGAAAAACAAGAGAAAACCAATCACAACACTAGCAGAAGGAAAGAAATAAAAACAGAGCTGAACTGAACAAACATGAAACATAAAAAGCCATACAAAAGATCGATGACAGCAAAAGTTGGTTCTTTGAAAAACAGATTGATAGACCACTAGCTAGACTAATAAAGAGAAAAAAGAGAAAGATCCAAATAAACATAATCAGAAATGACAAGGGGACATTACTACACCCCATAGAAATAGAGAAACCAAAGATATTACAAATATCCCTATGAACACAAATTAGAAAACCTAGAAGAAATGGATGAATTCCTAGAAAGATACAATCTCCCAAGACTGAACCAGGAAGAAATTGAAACCATGAACAGACCAATAATGAGTTCTGAAATTGAATCAGTAAACAAAACCTACCAAGCATAAAAAGCCCTAGCCCAGACAGAATTCACAGCCAAAATCTCCCAGCTGTATAAAGAAGAGATAGTACTAACCATACTGAAACTATTCCAAAATATTGAGAAGAAACTCCTCCATAACTCATTTTATGAAGCCAGTATCATTCTGACACCAAAACCTGGCAGAGAAAAAACAAAAAAAGAAAACATCAGGCCAATATCCCTGATGAACATAGATGCAAAAATCCTCAGTGAAATACTACTAAACCAAATCCAGCAGCACAACAAAAAGCAAATCCACCATGATCAAGTAGGCTTTATTCCTGGGATGCAAGGTTGGTTGACTTACATAAATTAATAAATGTAAGTCATTGCATAAACACAACCAAAAACAAAAACCACACAAAGTCATCTCACTAGATTCACAAGTGCTTTTGATAAAATTCAATATCTCTTCATGTTAAAAACCCTCAACAAAGTAGGTATCAGAGGAACATACCTCAGAATAATAAGAGCCATCTATGATAAACCCACAGCCAATGTCATACTGAACAGGTAAAAGCTAGACGCATTCCCCTTGAGAATTGAAACAAGACAAGGATGCTCACTCTCTTGACTCCTTTTCAACATAGTTCTGGAAGTCCCAGCCACAGCAATCAGGCAAAAGAAAGAAATACGGAGAATCCAAATAGGAAAAGAGGAATTCAAACTGTCTCTC